>NC_000006.12:157192002-157343517 GCF_000001405.40 Homo sapiens | reverse complement strand
ACTACTATTACTACTACTACTGCTGCTGCTGCTGCTGCTACTACTACTACTACTGCTACTAATGGACCAGTGAGCTTTTCTTGTAGTCTGACCATATAGGAAAATAAGTCCTTACCTTACAGAAGGTGTTGTTAATCTTAAAGCTCATGACACCTGGGTTCAAGTGACAGCATTATCTAATCTTTCAAACTTCTTTTTTTAATTATTATTATACTTTAAGTTCTAGAGTACATGTGCACAACGTGCAAGTTTGCTACATATGTATACATGTGTCATGTTGGTGTGCTGCACCCGTTAACTGGTCATTTACATTAGGTATATCTCCTAATGCTATCCCTCCCCACTCCTCCTACCCCACAACAGGCCCTGGCGTGTGATGTTCCCCACCCTGTGTCCAAGTGTTCTCATTGTTCAATTCCCACCTTTGAGTGAGAACATGCAGTGTTTGGTTTTCTGTCCTTGAGATAGTTTGCTCAGGATGATGGTTTCTAGCTTCATCCATGTCCCTACAAAGGACATGAACTCATCATTTTTTATGGCTGCATAGTATTCCATGGTGTATATGTGCCACATTTTCTTAATCCAGTCTATCACTGATTGACATTTGGGTTGGTTCCAAGTCTTTGCTATTGTGAATAGTGCCGCAATAAACATACGTGTGCATGTGTCTTTATAGCAGCATGAGTTATAATCCTTTGGGTATATGCCCAGTAACGGGATGGCTGGGTCAAATGGTATTTCTAGTCTAGATCCTTGAGGAATCACCACACTGTCTTCCAAAATGGTTTAACTAGTTTATAGTCCCACCAACAATGTAAAAGTGTTCCTATTTCTCCACATCCTCTCCAGCACCTGTTGTTTCCTGACTTTGTATTGATCACCATTCTAACTGGCGTGAGATGGTATCTTACTGTGGTTTTGATTTGCATTTCTCTGATGGTCAGTGATGGTGAGCATTTTTTCATGTGTCTATTGGCTGCATAAATGTTTTCTTTTGAGAAGTGTCTGCTCATATCCTTTGCCCACTTTTTGATGGGGTTGTTTGATTTTTTCTTGTAAATTTGTTTAAGTTCTTTGTAGATTCTGGATATTAGCCCTTTGTCAGATGGGTAGATTGTAAAAATTTTCTCCCATGCTGTAGATTGCCTGTTCACTCTGATGGTAGTTTCTTTTGCTGTGCAGAAGCTCTTTAGCTAAATTAGATCCCATTTGTCAATTTTGGCTTTTGTTGCCATTGCTTTTGGTGTTTTAGTCATGAAGTCCTTGCCCATGCCTATGTCATGAACAGTATTGCCTAGGTTTTCTTCTAGGGTTTTTATGGTTTTAGGTCTAACATTTAAGTCTTTAATCCATCTTGGATTAATTTTTGTATAAGGTGTAAGGAAGGGATCCAGTTTCAGCTTTCTACATATGGCTAGCCTGTTTTCCCAGCACCATTTACTAAATAGGGAATCCTTTCCCCATTTCTTGTTTTTGTCAGGTTTGTCAAAGATCAGATGGTTGTAGATGTGTGGTATTATTTCCAAGGGCTTTATTCTGTTCCATTGGTCTATATCTCTGTTTTGGTACCAGTAACATGCTGTTTTGGTTACTGTAGCCTTGTAGCATAGTTTGAAGTCAGATAGCATGATGCCTCCAGCTTTGTTCTTTTGGCTTAGGATTGTCTTGGCAATGCGGGCTCTTTTTCTGTTCCATATGAAGCTTAAAGTAGCTTTTTCCAATTCTGTGAGGAAAGTCATTAGTAGCTTGATGGGGATGGCATTGAATCTATAAATTACCTTGGGCAGTATGGCCGTTTTCACAATATTGATTCTTCCTATCCATGAGCATGGAATGTTCTTCCATTTGTTTGCGTCCTCTTTTATCTCATTGAGCAGTGATTTGTAGTTCTCCTTGAAGAGGTCCTTCACATCCATTGTAAGTTGGATTCCTAGGTATTTTATTCTCTTTGAAGCAATTGTGAATGGGAGTTCACTCATGATTTGGCTCTCTGTCTGTTATTGGTGTATAGGAATGCTTGTGATTTTTGCACATTAATTTGGTATCCTGAGACTTTGCTGAAGTTGCTTATCAGCTTAAGGAGATTTTGGGCTGAGACAATGGGGTTTTCTAAATATACAATCATGTCAACTGCAAACACGGACAACTTGACTTCCTCTTTTCCTAATTGAATACCCTTTATTTCTTTCTCTTGCCCAGTTGCCCTTGCCAAAACTTCCAACACTATGTTGAACAGGAGTGGTGACAGAGGGCATCCCTGTCTTGTGCCAGTTTTCGAAGGGAATGCTTCCAGTTTTTGCCCATTCAGTATGATATTGGGTGTGGGTTTGTCATAAATAGCTCTTATTATTTTGAGATACGTCCCATCAATACCTAGTTTATTGAGAGTTTTTAGCATGAAGGGCTGTTGAATTTGGTCGAAGGCCTTTTCTGCATCTGTTGAGATAATCATGTGGTTTTTGTCTTTGGTTCTGTTTATATGATGGATTACATTTATTGATTTGCATATGTTGAACCAGCCTTGCATCCCAGGGATGAAGCCAACTTGATTGTGGTGGATAAGCTTTTTGATGTGCCGTTGGATTTGGTTTGCCAGTATTTTATTGAAGATTTTTGCATCGATATTCATCAGGGATATTCAAACTTCTTTCAACATTGCTGCCTGATGTGGAACATGGAAACCATCTCCTCAACCAAGGTTTCAGTTAAACTTCTCTATTCTGTCACTACTGTTTTGTTTGTCTGTTTGTTTGTTTGTTTGTTTGTTTTGAGATGGAGTCTCGCTCGGTCACCCAGGCTGGAGTGTGGAGTATAGTGGCACAATCTCGGCTCACTGCAACCTCCACCTCTTGGGTTCAAGCAATTCTTCTGCCTCAGCCTCCCGAGTAGCTGGGACTACAGGCATGCACCAACACGCCCGGCTAATTTTTGTATTTTTAGTAGAGACGGGGTTTCACCATATTGGCCAGGCTGGTCTTGAGCTCCTGACCTCGTGATCCGCCCACCTTGGCCTACCAAAGTGCTGGGATTACAGGCACGAGCCAACGTGCCCAGCTTCTGTCACTGCTGTTTTGACTTTGAACTCTTTTCATCTTCCTATATAGCCAAGCCACGGCTCTCACAGACATTTAAATGATGACTGCATGTGGTGGCTGATGCCTGTAATCCCAGCACTTTAGGAGGCTGAGACGGGAGGATTGCTTCAGGCCCAGGAGTTTGAGACCAGCCTGGGCAACATAGTGTGATCCCATCTCTACAAAAAATAAAAATGAAATTAACAGAAACCAAAAAATATTTAAATGGCATCAGATAGGTTCTGCACACATGTCAGCTGTGGCACTGAGGCTCTATGACCACACTGATGATGCCAGCCCACACGCAGTGTCACTTCCCACACCTGCCCTGCTGGGCTGCTCACGTTAGTGATCCAGATTGGAAGTGGCAACTAGTTTCAACCGGTTTCCGTGCTCAGATACACTTCGACACCACTGATTTAAAAAAACATTTCAGTACATTTATCTTTGCTAAAGGTGATTTTTGCACAACCACAAAGTCATCAGGTGAAAACAATGTAAGTTACAAACATTGATTCTATCTGGTGGGGTCATGTATTCACTTCACAAACATTACTGAGCACCTGCTACATGCCAAGCTGTGTGGATACAGTGATGAACAAGACTGGCCAGGTTCCTACTGTCATCCTGGTGAGAGAAGCTAGACAACAGGCAAGCAATCTGCCTAACCCACAAACTGCCTGACCCCCAAACTGCCCAACCTCCAAACCGCCTGTCCCCCAAACCACCTGTCCCAGCCCTCCTGTGACTGGGGACAGCAGCTGCCCCCTCCACTCTGGGCATTTGAACAGAGGGTCCCAGTTTGTGGCAGCAACTATCACCAGTGACAACAGCCTGCCCTCTAGAGACAGAAAGCTTCCACCCTGGCTAGTTATGTGACTTTGGAGGATGGATGAACAATTCCTTGGACAACAGTTTCTTCCTGTGTCAAATGGGGTCACAGTATCTACCCCACAGGTGTGGAGATTAAATGACTCTGGGCAGATAAAGCACTTTGCACAGTGCCTAGCACCAAGCATGTGCTTGATAAATGATGGCAAGTACTGCCTTCAACATATGCATGTTTCATTGTAGGTATGTATCTTAGTTTGGGCTGCCATAACAAAATGCCATAGGCGAGGTTGCTTCAACAACAGAAATTTATTTCTCATAGTTCTGGAGGCTGGATGTCTGAGATCAGGGTGCCAGCACTGTTGATTTCTGGTGAGGGCTCGCTTCCTGACTTGCAGACAGCCACCTTCTTGCTGTGCCTTCACATTTAGAGAAAGAAAGCATGCTCTCTGGTGTTTCTTCTTAAAAGGACACTAATCCCATTGTGGGGGCCTCACTGTCATGATTTCATGTAAAACTAATTACCTCCCATAGGCCTCACCTCCAAATACCACCACATTGGGAATTAAGGGTTTCAACATAAGAATTTTGAAGGGACACAAACATTTATTAGTCCCTAACAATATGTTTCTTTGGGATTCCACTGAACCTGATTTTTTTCATTATCTTTTGAAAATTATAAGGTCCTGAAACCACACAGCTGAACCTTGAGGAAGCACAGCTAAGCATTGCCAAAATTTTACTTGAAGTGTTATCTCTTTTCAAGGACAAAACATTCCGTCAGAGAGCAAGCTGGTCATTCTCCACCTGTGCCCTCACATCCATTCTTTACCCTCTTGGCCTTTCTCTGCTCCAAAGAACTCCTGTGGGGTCCTTTTCAGCTGCTTTCTGCTAAGACTGGGTCAATGGGAGGCACCAGAGGACATCCTAGGGCAGGAAGCTGGGCATTGTTTCCCTGTTCCCTTCACACTTTTGGTGCCTGGTTCTGGGACTTGTGACATCCCTCCAGGAGTTCCTGGCTCTGCCAGATCACTGGATTTCAAAACGTCCACGCTCCCACCCCATCTCCCTTGAGGCCCAGGGTTTGTAACAGCTTCCCACTGTTGCTAGTATCCGAATGCCCCAGCCTTTCATCAGCTCCCTGCCCACATCCCTAGTGATAGTCCCTTGGTTGAAGAACCTTCCGCTGAACAGGCCAGGTGTGGTGGCTCACGCCTGTAATCCCAGCACTTTGGAAGGCCGAGATGGTCAGATCACTTGAGGTCGGCAGTTCTAGACCAGCCTGGCCAACATAGTGAAACCCCATCTCTACTAAAAAATACAAAAATTAGCCGGGCATGATGGTGCGTGCCTATAATCCCAGCTACTTGGGAAGCTGAGACATGAGAATCGCTTGAACCCAGGAGGCAGAGGTTGTGGTGAGCCGAGATCGCACCATTGCACTCCAGCCTGGGCGACAGAGAGAGACTCCATCTAGGAAACAAACAAACAAACAAAAACCAAAGAACCTTCCGCTGAACCAGCTGAGGGGTTTTCTATTTCCTGATGGGCCCCGGGCAACAGATGTAATGATAATAAACTTCACTATTTTCCCATGCATCCTACTTTCCTATCAGTCATGCTCTTAGTTTAATAAAATATTTTCCTTCATTAAAACAGAAATTCTGGAGAAGTTCCAGCTGGCACATGTGGCTTTTGCAAGGTCATGATGGTAATTGCCATAAGGGAAATAATCATTTTTAGGATTTAGTATTTCAGTGAAATTGAGAAATACAGCAAAGGAAATGTAATTCTTGCTCATGGCTTGATGGATTCAGAAATGTGAAAAATGGTAAGTTAGAAGTCATTAGCACAGGAGTTGGCAGAATCGAGCTACCAAAGGATCATATTGTTCTTGGTCATTTGCCTTCTCATTACTCTTAAGGCAAAGACTAATTACCTGCCTACGAGAATCCAACACTTGTCTCTAAGCCAATATTTAGGGGCTATCATGAGGCATATTCTCATCCCTCCCTCCCCACAAAAATCTTGGAAATAAGAGAAATAAGATACTCTCTGAGAGTTAAGTTTCAAATCACTAGGACAGAATAATAACAAAGAAATACAAAGTCACCTTAAAAACAGAAGTACCCTCAGCCTGGGCAATATGCCAAAACCCCATCTCTACAAAAAAAATACAAAAATTAGCCAGGTATGGTGGCTCATGCCTGTAGTCCCAGCTACTTGGGAGGCTGAGGTGGGAGGACTGCTTGAGCCTGGGAGGCGGAGGTTGCAGTGAGCCCAAGTTGTGTCACTGTACTCTAACCTGGGCGACAGAGGGAGACCCTGTCTCAAAACGAAAACCCAAAGCAAAACAAAACCCAGAAGTATCCTGAGAGCTGGAGGACTTGGCTTTGGCTGGATTGAGTATATCAAACTATCTGAAGCAAAATGCGCTCGTCAGAAAAGGCCACCAAAGCTCATCATCAAAGCAGACATCAAGAGTGCTCAATGAATTCCCTTGCAGAAGAACAAGCTTGAATTGCTTGGAATGTTTAGATATCCTTACTGTGAAACAAACACCTCAGCTTATCTCAGCCTGATGCCTTTAAATAATCAATTCTAATTCCCCATGTTTCAATTCCGTATTTACCAAGAAATATTTTTATAGGAATAATTTTATTTCAAAAGTAATACATGTTTATAACAGAAATCATCAGAAAATATGGGCCAAGCCCAGGGATAACATTAATGCCTTGATAGATTTTCTTCCATGCCATTTTTCACACACAGAAATATACAAATATACATATTAACAAAAATAGAAAGGTTTCTATTTTGGGGTGGGGTTCAACTTGCTGTTCACTCAATAATGAATAATGAACATCTTTGTATATCAACAAATATACCTCTGTGACAGCAGGTTCATAATTACATATTATTTTTGATGGGGGGCAATCCTATAATTTATTTAACAAAGCTCTCATGCATATTTCTTTCATTTCCATCCTTTTGCAATTATTAACAGCATTGTTGGAGACATCCTTGTAGCAAATCTTTGCAACTCCTTAACCATTTCCCTGCACAGATTCTCAAAGGGCATGGACATTCCAAAACTTCTGATACATTTTGCCAGATTGCTTTCCAGAAAATAATCCTGTAATTTTTCCAGTGTTTGCCAGTTTTATAGGTGATGAATCAATCATTAGGCTATTGTTTTAATTTGTCATGAGGTTGAAATTTTTTCATGAATTTCTTAGACACTCGAATTTCTTGTTTTTAAAATCTTCCTATTCATAATCTTTGCCCCCTTTTTAAACAATGGGATATCTAGAGCTTTCTTGCTTATTTACAGAGGTCCTTATACGAATAAGGATATGAACTTTTGTGATCCATCGTACAAATATTTTTGTTATTTGCCTTTTGCTGCAATATGGTGTTTTGCCTTAAGCTCAGAATCAGTTAGGAATGAATTTAACTTCAGGAAATAGAAAACTCAGCTCCACTCTCTTAAGGGGGACTTATTATCTCATGTAACAAGCATCTCATAGAGAGGCAGCTGTTGGACCTGATTCAGACAGTTGACAATGTGACAGCTCACGTCCCTGTCCTCTCGTAGCCCCTCCCATTTGTTACCTTATCATCATTAAATGGCCGCTGCAGAACTAGCCACCAGGTCTGTGTTCCAGGCAGAAGGAAGAAGAGTGGAGGAAGAGACAAGACCAGCCGACCTTTGCTTATGTCTTATTGGCCAGAACCGATTTCATGGCCACTCCCAACAGTTAGGAAGAGGCTGGCAAGGGCGAAGGAGGCATAGGATTAAGTGAGCAAACTTAATCTGTCTGCTGTAGAGCAGTGTTAAGACTTTATGTAGTCAAACTGACCTACATTTATTTCTTCGGTTTCATGCTTTAAAAGTTCTTCCCAACTTATTTACCAACTTATTTCGGTAGATATTCATCTATATTTTTTCCATTATTTTTATTGTTTCATTTTGTCCCCAAATCCTTTTTGAACTTTCTCCTCTGATTTGAAATACTCCACTTCTTCACTAAGCTATGAGATGCACTGAAGTGCGTTTTGGCCGGTACTATTCTGTTCTGCAGATCTAGATTCCTATTCTGTGCTATAGCTAGTACTTTAATTAATGCAAAGTACCATGCATTTTAACATTGTGAGGCAAGTCCCTCTCATCATAGTGCTTTCTCAACAAAATGTTGACCTTTCTTGAATGTTTATTATTCAGATGAATTTTGAATCATTCTAACAAGGTTTAAAAGTAATCTTATTTGAGGCAGGGCATGGTGGCTCATGCCTGTAATCTCACCACTTTGGGAAGCCCAGGCAGGTGGATCACCTGAGGTCGGGAGTTCAAGACCAGCCTGGACAACATGGTGAAACCCTGTCTCTACTAAAAGATATAAAAATCAGCCAGGCATGGTGGCCCGCGCCTGTAGTCCCAGCTACTTGGGAGGCTGAGGCAGAATCGCTTGAATCCGGGAGGCGGAGGGCGTAGTGAGCCTAGATGGCGCCATTGCACTTTAGCCTGGGTGACAAGAGTGAAACTTCATCTCAAACAAAACAAAACAAAACAAACAACAACAACAAAAGAAGATCTTATTTGGATTTTAACAGGAATTGCATTACATTTATAACATAAAGGAGAAGAATTAACAACCTGTGTGATTAAGACTTCTAGGCCGGGCGTGGTGGCTCATGCCTGTAATCCCAACACTTTGGGAGGCCGAGGCGTCCGATCACGAGGTCAGGAGTTTCAGACCAGCCTGACCAACACGGTGAAACCCCGTCTCTACTAAAAATACAAAAAAATTAGCCAGGCATGGTGGCGTTCGCCTGTAATCCCAGCTACTCAGGAGGCTGAGGCAGGAGAATCGCTTGAACCTGGGAGGCAGAGGTTGCAGTGAGCCGAGATCACACCACTGCACTCCAGCCTGGGCGACAGAACGAGACTCCGTCTCAAAAAAAAAAAAAAAAAAAAAAGGAAAAAAGAAAAAAGAAAAGACTTCTAGGGCAGAAGCATGATGGAGGCAAGTCTTCTTGTTTATGTCAGTAAAGTGTTGTGATCATCACATAGTGGATTTCTTCCCCTCTGTTTTGTATTTTAATGGGGTATAGCTAATGTATAGAAAAGTTGAAACTTTTATTAAGATTTCTTTTACAGCTGGAAACTTCACTGAATCCTCAATCATTCTAAACGTTTTTCCTTACTTATTATATGTCCAATTAATCTGCCAGAACCTCCAAGAGGGGGGTGTCCCCTGCAACTTTGATTGTTATCTGGCTTCCCATTATGGTTCTTTTGCCATATTTTTCATTATACTATATTAAGCTGGCATTCACTCATGAGCCTAATTAACGTAATTTTTCCCCTGAGAGATAAATCTACTCTTGCTCTGCTGACAAAAGAAAGTTTCAGAGACAGCGGAGCTGAGCTGGCCCATGTTGTGTGGCATAAGCCACCTTGCAAGTTCTAACCTGTCCCTCAGTGGAGGAATGTCTTCTACATCGCTTTGTACATATTAATACAAAAAAATGTATTTATGAACCTCTGTTGTAGAGGTATATTTGTTGACATACAAAGATGTTCATTTTTTGCTCAGAAAGTACCTAATTCCATTTTGGGGACATTTCAAATTTTTAAAAGTTCTCATGTGTAGAGACATGATCTACCCAATATAACTTCTCTCTGTGCCTCCTGAGAGAGGCATCAGCTTCCCAATTCTTCTCTCTCCAACCTAAATATATCTCCCTCAATGATTTCTTCTTAGATAAGCTGGCTAAGACTTCTCACCCTCCTTGTCACTCCCCTTCGCCTGCCTGCTCTTGGAGGACGCTTCCTCCACAGTGGCCCCCAGAACAGATGGGAATGAGTGGGAGAGACTTCTCCTAGGCAGACGCACAATGACCTCCACTGTTTCAGCATTATCGCCAACTAAATTGTCCATTTCTTTGTCTCAGGAAGTGCTTCAGGCCAAATCTCTCCCATCCTGCACTTGTGTATTTTCTGAAAATTTGATTTATTCCTGTTAAAGTTCATTTTATGTGTGATTGACTTTTGTTCTTGTCTAGCTAAGTAATTTTGAGACATTTCTGTCATTCATCTCATTCATTAAATAACCAAACCTTCTTGTTTTGTGCCTTACATAAAATTTAATAGCCTGCCTTCTAGCTCTAGGTCCAAGTTGCATATAAATACGTTGAAATGGCCAGGGCTGAGGAGAGACCTGTGGCGTGACCTCGGGTGTCTCCTTCCAGGTGATACATAAATCACTCTTCTTTAGGCATAGGTGGTCAATCAGCTTCAAACGTAACCAATCTTATTGATAAAGGGATGAAAGGAAGGACCTTGTCAAAGATCAGCTGGGGAAGAGTATTGTCCAGAGCTCCATGTGACCCATCTGTGATGTGGTCAGCTATGGGTGCAGCCACTACAACAGAGCAGCGCACACAGGAAAAAACCAGGACCTAGAATCAGATCTGACTCCTGGAGTGGAACACACAGTGGGCTGGGGCGAGGCTGGGGTTTCAGAGAGAATCGTTATGTTAGTAATATTAGGAAGTACCACCAGCCACTCAGCTCACGGTACCCTATGGGCTTTTGCTTCTAGACGATGTGAGTGGCACATGTGGTTATGAGAGTGGCATGTACTTCACAGGCTGCTGCGTGTGCAGGTGTGCAATGAGGTTAATGCATTAAATAAGACTATTTTACATGAGAGGGGTGTGTTTTCCCAATTCTAGCAAAGACACCATAAGGGCTTTCATGATATCCCCGTGAAAGACAGTGTGGGAGCCAGAGAAAGCAAGCCTGGATAGTACCTTGAAGGATGGCTGCGAGGGCGTTAGGAGAGGGAAGAGCAGACAGAGTGCCAGGAGAGAGGAAGTCATCAGGACATCATGTGTTGCAGATTGGGTGGACCATTGATAAATGTGGTTCCCACTAGGCAGAGCTGCTGGCCTATACATGGCTGTCTTTGGGTCTGGTGGTGACTCTGGTTCAACTCGCTTTGGCCAGGGTAAGTGGATGATGTGAGATGAAACACAGCCACCCCTGCAAATGGAACCACGCCTGGCCATTTTTCTGAGGAAATGACTAGCATTCAACACATCATCAAATTTCTCCAGTCCATGCTACTACCACAATCACAGCACAATGGGTACCTGGTTACTGTAAGAGAAACTGCGTGTCAGGTAGAATGCACTCTAAAATCAGGAGTCACAATAGACCCGCTGCTGAATCTGTAATTAGGAGAACTTGAGAGAAATACTTCTTGGATACAAGATGATCAGCTACATGACCCAAGGTCACTCTCATTTCCATAGTCATGCAACTCTGCAAAAGACAACCAAATAAGGATAAATATATAGCAGGGCTTGAAATAGTAAATCTAATTCTACTGTGTGCCAGTCTATTTTGGTCTCTCAACTATACCAATTCAGAATGTGCTTTGCGGACTGCGTTTTTCTTCCTAATTGATTGGAATGAAGTAGATTATTCATGAACATTTTGGCTTTTTCCCCTAGCAAATATCTCTCCTTCTCTCTTAGAATGTGAAGAAAAGCTCTAAATTTGACATGGGAAAGTGAGATATTATGTTTGGCTTAAGTAGAAGGAAAGCTTCAACCCCATCATGAAATCTGGTCTTTGCTATTTTGACCACTCTTCTGGTTCAGACAAATTGCAGAGTGGAGACATCACTAACTTTTAGATCTTACCATGAGCTGCAAGAGAGAGGGGGCATTGCTCTCTGTCCTCTAAAGGGAACAGTCTCATTTCTCCAAACTGAACTAGAAGCATAGAGTTTGGGAACTAGGAAGAATCCTAGTGACCAAGTAGTTCAGTATTTTCTCAGTCTATATTCTAAGATATATGAGCCCACAAGATGTTCCTAAACAAAGAGTTGTTGGTCAAATAAGTTACAGAATCAAAGCTTACCGTGCCCTCCTCTTGAAGACTCTGAGAGGCTCTGAAGCAAAGAATTCTGTGAGGTTTTGTTTTCCAAACTTCTTTGATCACAGAATCTGTTTTTTTGGTTTTTGGTCCAGGTAACACCTAACAGCTTCTGGAACTGGCATGCTGTGAAACATACTTGGACAAAGTGCAGATATATTCAATCCCTTCCTCACTTTACAGAGGAAGGAAATGAAGCCCATATTAAGAAACATGGTTGGGAGGCCAAGGCACGGATCACCTGAGGTCAAGAGTTTATGACCAGTCTGGCCAACATGGTGAAACCCCATCTCTACTAAAAATACAAAAATTACCCTGGTGTGGTGGCACGCACCTGTAATCCCAGCTACTTGGGAGGCTGAGACAGGAGAATTGCTTAAACCCAGGAGGCAGAGGTTGCAGTGAGCCGAGATCACGCCACTGCACTCCAGCCTGGGCAACAAAGAGCAAAACTCCATCTCAAAAAAAAGAAAAAAGAAACATGGAGACAATCCTTCCTCGTCACTGACAGAGCTGGAAACTAGACCCTGGCTTCCAGACAACTGACAAGTCCAGGCTCTTTCTATCACCTTGAAAGAGGCATTGTTAACAGCAGCTCTGATGTACCCCCTAGCACATGCTCACTGTCTGGAATTTGAGGTAGCATTTATTTATAGTGCACTCAGCAATGAATCCATCAAATGCTTTGACTGTTTTAAAAGGGCATTGGGCCCTGAACAGTTGACCTAAATAAAACACTATCATCTAAATGATACGTAATTTACTAGATAGTAAATATTTTATCAGGCTGTATAATCACATTCTAAGAGGTTATTACTTTTATAAGCAAGAGTAAATCAAAGGGGTGAAATCCCAATAAAGTGTTCCTAAAATATAAGTATACTACCCAATGGGAAGTAACTGTAGACAATTCTCTTGCAATGCAGAGAGGAATAGTTGGTGAGGACAAAATTATAAAAATGTGTCCAAGGGTCGTGTATATATTTTTCCAAAATAATGTAAATTCAAGTAGCTTGAGCATGCTTGCACCCCTCAGAAGCAATATTTATCTGCCCCATTCTCTGAATCCTAAAGGCACTTTGAATCTACACACATTTTCTCACTTCTTTAACCATACCATGGTTTCTGAGACTGCAGCGTTGGGTACTTTGGAAGCCTGTAAATTTTTTTTTTCTGACTTAATACACTTGAGATATGAGATATACTCCTAGCAGTTGGGATATTTTAAATTAGTTTCTAGCCTCTGAATACAAGGTTTCCAAAGCCAATATTAGCCCATGTGGTACTTTTGTGTGTGTGTGTGTGAACCAGAAAAGGTGCACCTTCCCCAGGGCTGCTGGATTCCAGCACCAGAGCGCAAGGCTTTGGTGAGCAAAATGCAGGCTGGATTCCTGACCTGACCTGTTCCATCCTGTTCCATGTCCCCCAAGATGGAGGCCCTCATGCAAATGAACAAGTTGCACAACTAAAGGCAAGATCCCTGTTTCTTTCCCTCCCTCTCCTTGAGCCCCCCACCCCTGTAAGGCTGAACTCCCATTCCTACCTGCAGACCCAGCCTTCATCTTGACCTGAATCAGCATGTACTTCTGGGCCTGAGCCTCTCAATTTGCCTTGCTGACTCAACATCAGAGTATGTCTGACTCTATTACAGTGATCCAAGTCTGATAACCGGGCTCCTGAACAATGGTCTCTTTTTCATTTCCTTGCTATTTTAGCTGGGTTTGTGTCTTGTGCAATTACCAGTTACCATCTCTAGGTCTTCAGTTCTGCCTAGGGGCTTCAACTCTGCTACCCATGGACAAATTTCTTGGTGACACTAGCCTTCCTGCCTAAAGTTCTGAACTCTCTCCCTGCCCTGGATTCCAGGATGCCCTGTTACCTACTTAAAAATCCTTCTACTTCATCTCACAACTAGGTCACCTGGACTGAAAAACTCTCTTGCCATCACCCCCTGGCATGAGCTTTGTCCCCCAGGGACATGTGCCTCTTGCTTTTGAGTTTTTTGTCTGGGCCTCAGTTGCTGAGCCCACTTGTAGGAACTAGTCCCTTCTCCACAGGCCCCCTCTGAATTCCAAGCCAGGACAGTCTGGGTTTGGTACATATGCAGACCAACCTCTTAAGCCCTCTATATCCACATTTACAGTAACAGTTGATATTCAGAGAAGTGACTTAAAGCACTGCATACTTTTTAAGCAAGAAGTAAACCATATTTTACTTATTAAGGCAGAAAGTAGAAGACCAAGAAAGAATATCAACTGCAAAGATTCAAGCAAAAAGATATTTTGATGAAATTTCTTAGAAAATTAAGGGTTATGGAACTATAAGCTCCAATGAGCCAAGGACTGTGCCTCATTACTTCGCTATAGTAAAACAGCGCTTAAGACCATAGAGGTGCTCAGTAAATACTTGCTGTGTCAATAAAAAATAAAGTCAATCGAAACACAGTATTTGGTCAGAAAAGGTCTTACTACTTTATGTGGTCACTCTTTCATCATACATGTGATAATACTTGTTTTTAAATCATTTTATAATTTATAGCCTTTAATATATCAGAATGGTATAGATTATTAACAATAAATACAATAAACATAAGATGTATTTAATGATGCAAGTGGTTGATATCACAGATTTTAATAGTAAATGGGAGTGTAACATATGTCCTTGTATATGAAATACTGGCAAAATGATAATGCATAGATGGAAATATATTTGGCTTTTGGGAATGCTAAGAGTCTTTTCTATAACTGGGACACACACAGGACTAAAAATAACAATGCTTTACATTGCCAGAATACTCAACAGTTTACAAAATGCTTGAACATCTGTGATCCTATTTGATCCTCACAAGAAGATAGAGAAACATAGTTAAAGGAAATTATATGCATCACTCTTTTATAAGATAATATCTAGTGGCTTATGAAATATAACAGCTCTTGAAAAGATTTCTAGTCTATCATTAATGATAACAATTCAACTGATAGCACAGAAAGAGATAGGAAAGATATACTCTACAATAAGAAAAATTGAATGGAGGAATATATAATGGCAACTCTCATTTACTGTGATAAAGACAGACATATTATTCAACCTGAGGCAGTTACAGAATATGATTCTAAAAGATTAGTAATGAGATACCGGAAATGAGTAATGAGACTCAAGCTTTGGACTCAAGCTAGTTTCAGCTCACTCAAGAGGAGTTATTACCATACTTACCATTTCTATTGATTGTACTAATGCCATTTCGAAGGAGCTGTAGCTCTGGGGATTCAGAGCAGATACTGGGAAGAATTCAAGAGGCTGAGAGCAGCAAACTGGAGGGTGCAGATACCACGTGGGCTCTCATGCCAGCCCAGAGCTTCTCCTTGTGACATAATGCATCTTGCTCTCATTCCCTTGCTTTCCAAGAATGTTATCGCTGGGTATCCTGCTGGAGAGTTTGATGAGTTACCCTGAAAACCTATATAATATTTCTATTTAAACCAAAATTCATCTTTTAAACAAGGCGATACATTTTTAAAGTATTTTATTGTTTTCCTTCCATTTTTTCCCTTCTCACAAAAGTAATACATGTCCCTTATTAAACATTTTGCAAACATTATAGAAATATGTAAAAATGTGGCTTTGGTCAGCATTTTACTTACTAAGGCAGAAAGTAGAAGAGATATAGATAGAACACTCACCTCCTCCCTCCTGTCAAAGTAACCTCTGTTAATAATTCAGTGTTGAGTCCAGATCTTTTCTTCTGTGCACACACTTAAGCTGGCAATAACTTTTAAAGATCTCTGATATATATATATATATATTGAGATACATATATATGTATCTCAAAAAAATTATATATATCTTTCAAAAAATTACATATCTATATGTATATATATGTTTTTTTTTTTTTTGAGATAGAGTCTTGCTCAGTCACCCAGGCTGGAGTGCAATGGCATGATCTCGGCTCACTGCAACCTCTGTCTCCCGGGTTCAAGCAATTCTCATGCCTCAGCCTCCTGAGTAGCTGGGATTACAGGTGCCTGCCACCACAGCCAGCTAATTTTTGTATTTTTAGTAGAGATGGGGTTTCACCATGTTGGTCAGGCTGGTCTCAAATTCCTGACCTCAGGTGATCTGCCTGCCTCAGCCTCCCAGAGTGCTGGGATTACAGGCATGAGCCACCACACATGGCCTATATTTTTGACAACTATCTTATATCAAGCAGCAGGAAGGATGATTTGACCCTTATCAGATTTTAAAAATAATTCAGCCTCATACATTAAACATGGAGAGATTGAAGCTCTGAAGAAATGTTTTAAAAAGTGACGGGGAAAAGAGTCCATCAGAGTTCAAAACAAGCTAGAGCTAGGGCCATCCAAATTCCAGGAACGGTAAAGCTAACAAGTTTCTAGCTGTCAACATTTGAAATAGAATCTACAGGAGCCAAAACGTTTGAAATAAGAATGTGGTCAAATGTGTCCCTGGTATGAACTTTCAGCTGACTAAAACAAATACCGAAATAGCAACAGCATCCGTCTCAGATAAACCTGCTTTCCCAGCAGCCTCCTTGGCTTGTAAGAGATTTCCATTACTTTTTCTAGAAGAGTACTGTGCTTCCATTGAAATATCAGTCCTGCTGGTGCTGCGTGAAGCAACAAAGCTCTGTGACTTTCTAATCTCTGGTTTCCACACTTGGAAATGCTTCCCTGCTCAAGTCCCCATCTTGCAAAGAAACTGTGCTTAGAATGTCTACAACTCACCTGTTTGGAGCTTGTGTCATATCTTCCTCTAGTAACAAGTCTAGGTGGAATTGTGGAATTCTTAGAGCAGTGCAATTAATCAAATTGTACCCAAAGTACCCAACTGGGTGTCCTGTAGAGATATGAGACCTTGGGAAACATTGTCTTTAAAAAATGCTTTCTTTCAGCATTCCAACTTGGGATGCCTGGAATTTGGTCTTATCCCAGGGCCAGGGACTTCCCGTCCCAGTGTGTGGCAGGCTTCTGAGGCTCTGGAAACACCATCTCCCAGGATCTGGCACCAAGCAAGTCACAGGGCAGGTGCTGGGGGCTAGTGAGAAATGGGGCTGTAGTAGTCTCCACAAACAGGCCTTGACCAAGGAGCTCGCACCTCCTCCTCTCCTTGGTATGTATCCCACAAAGATCCTCAAAATGCAAATTTTGAGGCTGAAGTGTAAACCATTGGTTTGTGTCAATTGCCTTTTCAGTCCTGTGTATATTGGGAAAACAAGCTTTCAAGTAGAAAAAAGGAAGATTGCCTTTTACTTTGGGGATTTAGAAAGAAGATAGAGGTTTGTGAGCTGCAACATCCAAAACAAAGCAGACACCAGTTTCCTAGGATGTGCAGTTACTTTCAATGGAGACCAGCTCTGGAATGCAGGACTCTGTAATTTCCCTAGATTACAAGATCTATTATCTCCCTTCTGTTCCTTATAGTAAGCAGTGATATAAACCTTAAATTATTATTATTATTATTATCATCATCATCATCATCATCTTGAGACGGAGTCTTGCTCTGTCACCCAGGCTGGAGTGCAGTGGCATGATCTTGGCTCACTGCAACCTCTGCCTCCTGGGTTGAAGCGATTCTCCTGCCTCAGCCTCCCAAGTAGCTGAAATTACAGGCGCCGCCACCACACCCAGCTAATTTTTATATTTTTAGTAGAGATGGGGTTTCGCCATGTTAGCCAGGCTGGTCTCAAACTCCTGACCTCAAGTGATCTGCCTGCCTCGACCTCCCAAAGCACTAGGATTACAGGTTTGAGCCACTGTGCCCAGCTTAATCCTTAAAATGTTTCTGTCGTTTTCTAAGGGGACAGCAAAGAAGAGAGTGGAGGAATCTGCACTTTTTCTCCCTAAGCAGTCTTGGGAAAACAGATTTCCAAGTGCTAAAGTGTATGGTGTGGATTTTAAGAGGTGTAATCCATAAGAGGAAGGCACACAGAAGATGTTCTCGAAGTGGAATCCGTGGCAACAGCATCACCTGGGAACTTAGACATACACGTTCTCAGCCCCCACTGAGTCACAGACTCTGGGAATGGGGCCCAGCAAGCTGAGTGCAATAAGCCTTCCAGGTGATTCCAATATTCAAGTTCACACTTGAGGACGACTGGCACAGTGGATAAGGAAGGACCTGCTTTTAAGCCCTGTCTCTGCCACTTAACAGCTGTGTGAGCTTGAGCAAGTTAGTCTTTCTGAGTTTATGGAGAGGAATAAATGAGATAATGTACTTGAAGCACTTAGTGCAATGTCAGATATATAGAAAGCACTCAATACATGTTAGCAGCTATGGTTACTGTTATGTATGAGGGGAAGGAAAAAGGATAGGTCCTTCAACAAATTAGCACAGCATTTACCAGCTTAAAAGCCCTTTCAGATACTGACGTGTTTCCAGGAAATCCAAAGGTCACATACATTCTGTGTGATCTCATCCACACAAAAATTTGAACAGAGCAGTAGTTTTTTATCATCAGAAACCCCACGGAGCTTTTACATTCTGCCCTGCCACCCGCGGGCCTTCAGAGCTCTAATCTCCCGTGGTAGATAGACCTTGATAATCCATCATTTTTAAAAATCCCCATAGGCAATGCTGCAAAATAGCTACTGGAATCAAAGGTGGTAATAGTTAGAGCTAACATGTATTGAATATTTATATGTGCCAGGCACTGTGCTAACTTCTTTATAGATGTTGCTTCATTTAATTCTCACAGTAATCCTATGAGTTAGGTACTATCAGTTTTTGTGTGTGGGGGGGGCGGGATGGGGTGGATGGCAGAGTTTCACTCTTGTCATCCAGGCTGGAGTGCAACGGCTCGATCTCGGCTCACTGCAACCTCTCCCTCCCAGGTTCAAGCCATTCTCCTGCCTCAGCCTCCCGAGTAGCTGGGATTACAGTCCCGCATCATTAGACTCCGCTAATTTTTGTATTTTTAGTAGAAACGGGGTTTCACCATGTTGGCCAGGCTGATCTCGAACTTCTGATCTCCACCTGCCTCAGCCTCCCAAAGTGCTGGGATTACAGGCGTGAACCACCGCGCCTGGCCTACTACCAGTTTTTAAATTTTACAGGTGAGGAAACTGAGCTATAGAGGGGCTAAGTTACCCCAAGTTCACACACCTGAGAAGCGGTTTAGGACCCGAGCCCAGGTTTGAGCTATTAACTGCACTTCACTGACGCAAAAATGGATGCATTCATTTACTCATTCATCCAACATGCATTTGATGTTGGTAACCAGTTAATATCTGAAAGCTGGGGGATATAAACTGAACATAGAGTCCCATCTCCATCCTCAGGAAACTCATGCCCTCCGGTGATGGGGGGCAGGACAAATAGCAGAGAGACCGCCTTATTTTACAAGATGTCATTGTTCTCTGAGAGGCTGAAAAGATTTTCTATCACCACTAGCCTCCTCCTCTCCACGGCCATTTACAGAATGGGCAAACCAGCCTCCCAGCGGAAGACCAAGCTTGCTAGCGGTCAACGTTGCCGGCAGCTCTGCAAGCGCTTCCAGCGGGCGTCGCTCTCCTTTCGGGGGTGGTACTTTCATTCGGTCATCCTGTGAGTGTTCCACTTCCCGACGGAGGCCGAGCACTCACACCGCGGCGGAGGTACCCGTCACCGCAGAACCGGGTGGCTGGCTCTCCTCCAGGGAGAAAGCCTGTCACTTATTCCTCAACACTGTTGGGAAGTTACCTAGAAAAGTACAGACAGAAGACCTAGGCTTGCGTTTTAGAATCGTGGAGTGTTAGCGCTGGCCAAATCGTTGGACACAATGTAAGCTTGATCAGGAAAATGAGCTCCAGGGTCTCACAGGCGGGGCCTGGAATCTTGGCGCAATCTGCGACCCTCACTGCCTCCTACAGTCGGGGCTGAGCGTTCTTTCAAACAGCCAAAGTAATCACTTAAGTCCAGCAATGATCTCCTTGGAGAAATCAAAAGATCCTCCCTAAGAGACGGCCTTGGAGGGCATCGCCCCTGGGGCTGGGCACAGCACGTCTTCCCGGCCCCGGCGCGGGAGGAGGGTTTGGGGACAGCGGCCGCACTCCGGACCCTTCTTCAGATTGCACAGGAGGAGGCGGTAGCGGAACCTTTCTCCTCCGCCTGGTTCTCGCTTCCACCCGGGCCCAGTTGGGGACGGACGCACTAGAGGCGACCTAAACATGGAGACAGCGGGCGCTGCAACTGGGCAGCCGGCCTCTGGGCTGGAGGCTCCGGGGTCCACGAATGACCGGCTTTTCCTGGTTAAAGGTAAGATGTGCTGTGGTGAGGTGCGGGCGTCGGGGTGAGTTAACCCCGGACCCTGGCTTGCTCTGGAGCGGGCATTCCCACACACATCCCGCTCTGAGAGCCCTTAGCTTGTGCTTGCCCCTGAGTTTAGCCCGCGGAGTCTGGCGGCCCAGGGAGGGTAGGTCGCTTACTGGGTGGAGTCTCCCCTTGGGCGGGGCGGGGGGCAGATCCCGCGAGCTATTCTCCCGGGCGTGCCATATTTCCCCGTCACCTCTGCAATTGTTCTAGAGCCTTGCCTTTTCTGATTGCCATCGTCTCTTCTCCTCCCCGTGAGAAACTTCACGCTGTGGTCCCAGGGGAGAGGGGAAGGGAAGCTGAACCTTTTCTCTGCGCTCGGGAATAATAATTCGGAATGACCCAAGGAACCAGAGGTCGTGCGGTCACGCGTGTTTCTCAGCCGCTGTCATTTACTGTTAGCAAGAGCTGCTTAGCCATGGTTTCTTGAATTTCAAAAGTGATTTTGATTGTAACTCGAATAGTATCTTAAACTTACTTTTGTACATCTTTTTAACCTCTTTTTATTTAATTTTTTTTAATATCCCCCCTCCTCCCCGAAACTCTTGGCAGGTGGAATTTTCCTTGGTACCGTTGCTGCAGCGGGAATGCTAGCTGGATTTATTACAACATTATCATTGGCTAAAAAGAAAAGCCCTGAATGGTTCAATAAGGTTGGTGACACTGAAATCCATTCATAGCATTGTTATTGTTTACAATATATGGCAGCTTTTGCGTAGAAAAAATAAAATATTGATGGTCTTTCACATTGCTTTAAGATGTGAATTTATATACGCTCATGGATTCTAGAAATGTACAAATTAACCAAGTCTTTATTTTCATTTAGAAGGATGTACTTATGTGCTTTCTTAAATTTTAGCGGAACAAGACTTTGAAAGCTTATCTGGTACATTTCCTATTCACAACATGACTTTGAATCTAAATTTGGGCCAGGCATCGTGGTTCATGCCTGTAATCCCAGCACTTTGGGAAGCCGAGAGGGGCAGATCACCTGAGGTCAGGAGTTTGAGACCAGCCTGGCCAACATGGCGAAAACCCATCTCTACTAAAAATACAAAAATGAGCCAGGTGTGGTGTGGCACTCCTGTAGTCCTAGCTACTCGGGAGGCTGAGGCAGGAGAATCACTTGAACCCAGGAGGCTGAGGTTGTAGTGAGCCCAGATAACACCACTGCACTTCAACCTGGGTGACAGAGCGAGACTCTGTCTCAAAAATAAATAAATAAATATTCACACAAATAACTGTGTAATTACAATTTGATGTGTGCTATGGAGGAAAAGTGTTACGTAAAACATCATAAAAAGTCAAGTTTCCTTTCCACTTACATTTATCTTTAATAATCATACTTAAGCCTTATCGATACCATAATGGCAAGAGACCATGTTTAAAGTGTGCTTGGATCCCCTCTGAATGCTCTAAGCTTATATGGAGCTTCCTAAATCACTGCTATGGACCTTGTGGGTCATTTTCTCTCTATGTTATAGAATGTTTTCAGAGCAGAAATATATTTTGTGGTGGAAATCAGAGTAGTGCCTTAACAGTAGAGTTTTGGTTGATTTCTAAGCCTAAGTTATGTTAATCCTTGGCTCACTGATCTTTTTAATAATCTGATGAAAACTAGGGATTCTCTGGGGCTGAAGAGCGCACGTACACATATCACAACTTTCCATCCTATTTTGTTATTCTGAGATTTGATCATCACAGATGCTCTTCGGGGTCTAACAGTGGTTTTCAAACTGCAGTCCACAGAACCCTGCTGATCCTTGATCCTTGGGTCCATGAAGTCAGAACTATTTTCATAATGATACTAAGATGCTTGTACTAATGGTACAGAGGCAATGGAGAGTAAAACTGCTGATACCTTGGTCTAAGGCAGTAGCACCAAACTGTGAAAGTCCTTGTGTCCTTCATTACAAAGTACCTGTATTTTTTAAAGCCAGTATTACTTAACAGTGTCCTTGTTGAAGAAATAAAATAGTTAATTTTATTAAATCATGACCTTCAAATAAACCTCATTTTAATATTCTGTGTAAAGAAATGGGAAATACAAGGCCGGGCGAGGTGGCTCACGCTTGTAATCCCAGCACTTAGGGAGGCCAAGGCGGGCGGATCATGAGGTCAGGAGACTGAGACCATCCTTGCTAACACGATGAAACCCCGTCTCTACTAAAAATACAAAAGAATTAACTGGGCGGGTGGCGGGTGCCTGTAGTCCCAGCTACTCGGGAGGCTGAGGCAGGAGAATGGCGTGAACCCGGGAGGCGGAGCTTGCAGTAAGCCGAGATTTCGCCACTGCACTCCAGCCTGGGTGACAGAGCGAGACTCCGTCTCAAAAAAAAAAAAAAGAAAAAAAAAAAAAGAAATGGGAAATAAATACATAAAGCATTTCTATTTTATACTGAAGTAGGATTTTTTCTCTAGAAAAGCAATTGAATTGCAAGCTGAACTAGCCACTTTTTTCCTATAGAATATCATTTTTACTTGAAAGAATATTTGGCAGACATCTTAACAATGAATAAAATGAGCTTGTCTTTTCAAGCAAACAATTGTCAGTATTTATTGCCACTGATAAAATTCAAGCTTTCAAGTGAAAATTAGATTTTAGAAAACTTTTATCCCAGCACTTTGGGAGGCTGAGGGAGGCGGATCACTTTAGGCCAGGAGTTTGAGACCAGCCTGGGCAACACGGTGAAACCCCATCTCTACTAAAAATACAAAAATTAGCTGGGCATGGTGGCATGCACCTGTAATCCCAGCTACTTGGGAGGCTGAGGCACAAGAATTGCTTGAACCTGGAAGGTGGAGGTTGCAGTGAGCTGAGATCACGCCACTACACTCCAGCCTGGGTGACAGAGCGAGACTCCATCTCAAAAAATATAAATAAATAAAAGACTAACAAAAATGTAAAACATTGTCTCTCTTTGCACAGTTTTGTTTTGGAAAAGTAATTTTTCATAAAAAATAGGCTTATATTAATCTAAAATGATTTACTATTTTTAAATGACTAATATAATTTAAGAATTTCATAGTTTTAATTTCTAATACATTAAATATTGATAAATACAACCCACTTAATTGAAAGTCTTTAGGGCCCAAGTGTAAAGGGATCCTGAGACCAGGTAGTTTGAGAACCCCTGTTTTAGATGGTTCTGTCTCCCTCTGGGAAAACACTGGAATTAGAGTATGACCACTTACCCAGACTCTGTTTCAGAGGTAAAATTGTTTGTAGAAGAACTCAGAGATTTTGGAGCACACAGTTAATGCGTTTATACTGAGCAAGCACCAGTCTAAGAATCTCACTTAGTCAGTGCACTTCACAGTTGCCACCTGGAGGTCTTTTCTAACATTGATAATATCTAATATTTGAGTGCTTAGCATGTGCTGGCTGTTCTTCTGCGGGCTTGACTCATTGAACTCTCCTCACACCCTATGCAGCACCGTTATGTGTGGTCCCCATTAAAGGGCAGGAAACTGAGGCACAGATGAATTAAGCAACTTGCCCAACATGGTACTCTTCCCATCTTGGGATACTTCTAGGGAAGAAATGATACAATTTTTAGTAATCTTGCTATTTAAACAGACTTCTATCCATTAGCCTGGGATTCTAGGTATTAAAACAGATTCAAATTGCAACCCCAGAGGACATTAAAATGATAAACTTTTCAGTTGGGGACTGCCTACACTGCTTTTATTTTGGGATGATAGTTATCCTTTTAATGTCCTGTTCTCATTTTCTTAGCTGTGTGTCATGCAAAACAACTGGGAGTTGAAAAGCAATAATAGATGCTGAATGGACATTCATTTTTCTTTGTAGTTCCCTGAATAAACAGAAAGAGGAAGGTGCAAGCTAAAAGTGGCGAAGTAATTTACTCTTGAGCTTCTTTGGTCGATCTATTAAAATAGATCAACATTTTTGTTAACTAGTCTATCCTGCATTTATACATCAGTCTCATAATCGGTAGACTAAATGAGGTGCTATGAGAGAAAATAACATGTATTATATGTCTATTTGGTTAAAATAACTGAAGAAAGTACATAATGTTTACACACATGCAAAGTTTACTTATCTGAAATATCTGGTGCCCTTGCTCATCTTAATATTATGGCAGGAAAAACATTCATAAAATAACTGAGTTATTTTAATACCACTTTAATGTCATTCTGTGAAAATGCCAATGAATGGGGGATAGAGAAATCTTGACAAAATGGTCTAGGATTTTTCTGGAAGAATTAACAGGCAAGGTGCCTTGCATACTCAAATATCTGTGAGTCAGAGAAGGCATGCAATTATTAAGTAGCAAAGCCAGAATTAGACCTTGGGTTGATTTAGCTTCCTAATATCATGTTGTTTGCACAGAGAGGAATTTGCAAACACCCCCAGAATGCTTATTCTTTCTGCACTGATTGTTTTTACCTCAACTTTTCTGTTTCATTTCAGGGAAGTATGGCCACGGCTGCATTACCGGAAAGCGGGTCTTCCCTTGCCTTGCGAGCTCTGGGCTGGGGCTCCCTGTATGCATGGTGTGGGGTTGGTGTGATTAGCTTCGCAGTCTGGAAAGCTTTAGGAGTTCACAGTGTAAGTAACTACTGTCTTGTCCCTGGTATCTACATGTTTATTCTGCTTACTGTGTTCTAAATTTTTCTGGTTTTCAAATTTATTTGCATGTAGTTTGGTCACTGTCTAGGGAGATGATGACAGAGTACGTGACTAAATTCTTACAAATAACTAGACAACTTCTTATTACTAATAAATACAATTTTTGAAGGTGGTAAAACTTCAAATATAATTAAGTAATGACTAATTTATAGCTAATGTTCTATATAAATTGACATTAGGGCGAGTGCAGTGGGTTATGCCTGTAATCCCAGCACCTTGGGAGCCTGCGGCAGGCAAATCACTTGAGCTCTGAAGTCCAAAACCAGCCTGGGCAATGTAAAGAAACCCTGTCTCTATAAAAAAATTAGCTGGGTGTGGTGGCATGCGCCTATAGTCCTAGCTACTCAGAAGGCTGAGGGAGGAGGATCACCTGAGCCTCACAGGCTGAGGCTGCAGTGTGCCAAGATCATTGCGCTTCAGCCTTGGCAGCGGGGTAAGACCCTGTCTCAAAAACAAAGTAGAATAAATAAACAAATTGACATTAGCGATTTGTTCAATAAAATTATTAATTTGGAACAACTTTCTATTGCTGTTTGACATATATATATAATCTTTGTAAAAGTTAAAGCATTTTAAAATTAATTATTTAAATTACTAATGTGTTATTTACACATTTTTGGAAAAAATCCTAAAATCTTGTGTGTCTGTGTCTGTGTTTGTGTATATATGTAAAATTTATACTTCAAGCTACAGAGCATTACATTAAGAATGACTGCCTTCTTTTTTTAAACAACTGGTTGGAAGTTCTGTGGACCGGACCCTTCGTGACTGGTGAGAATTGGCAGTAGTTTGAGATAGGTGGCAGCGGTAAAGTTGATGAAAACAGATGTCGATATATTTTGAAGGTCAAGTCAGCAAAGATTTGTTGTTGATTGGATGTGGGGTGTGAGAAAGAGTGAAGTTGGATGTCATCAAGACTTTTGGCCTGAGCAACTGAAGGATGGGTGGGGAGCAGTGTGAGAAAAGGAGGTATTGGGAGATAATGTCAGGAGCTCAATCTGACTTGTGAGGTTGACACATCCGTTTGATAGTGAGATGGAGAGCAAGTAAGCAGTTAGATATAGAAGTTGAGAGTTAGGGGAGAAGTACAAGGTGAAGATTTGAATTTGAGACTCATCAGTATATGGCTAGCATTTAAAGCTGTGAGACTAGATTAACTCACCAAGGCAGTGAAGGTTGAAAGAAAAGAGAAGAGGTCTGAGGAAGGAACTCTTGGGGACTCCTAATGTTAAGAGGTTGGGGAATGAGGGGAAAGTACCCTACTGAAGAGGGAAATCTCCTTGGCCTGGTGACTTGGACACCCGGTGAAGAAAACACTTCAAGGAGAAGTGACTGACTGTGTTGTATGCTGGTGATAAGTTACGTAAGATGAGGACTGATGATTCACCCGGTTTGGCAGTGTGACAGCCATTGGTGAAATGGTGGAGTGAAGCCTGAGTGATTCAAAAGAGAATAGAGGAGAATCAGAGGCAGTATATCTAGGTGAGTCTTGAGTTTTGCCACAAAGTGAAGGAAGGAAATGGGGTCATAGCTGGAAAAAAGAATGGGATCAAGAGATAAGTTTTTACTTGTTATATTTTACATTGGGAGAATTAACAGCATGTATATGCTGATGGGAATGATTCAGCAGGGAGGAAGAAACTGGGGCAAGTTGGCAGGGTTGCAGGAACAACCTCATAGACATTATTGAGCTTTTCATATTTAGTTTAATCGTAAACAAACATAAACATTACTGTGCTTTCCACTCAGAATACACTGATAGACAGATGATGGTGCTTTTCTCCTAGTCTAACCTTTGTTTTTAAAATTTATTTTTATTTTCGACTCTTTGGAGACAAGGTCTTCCTCTGTCACCCAGGATGGAGTGCAGTGGTGTGACCTCAGCTCACTGCAGCCTCCTGGGCTCGAGCAACCTTCCCACCTCAGCCTCCTGTGTAGCTGGGACCACAGATGCATGTCACTATGCCTGGCTCATTTTTTTTATTTTTTGTAGAGATGAGGTCTCATTATGTTGCCCAGGCTGGTTGCGAACTCCTGGACTCAAGCGATCTTCTGCCTCAGCCTCCCGAAGTGCTGGGATTAAAGGTGTGAGCCACTGCACCTGGCCCTCACCTTGATTTTTGAGTTAACTTTGCTGGCTAATCATTGTTTGTAATGCTAAATTAGAGATTGCTTGAAAAGACAGAAAACCTGTGACTGAAGATTTTTCATGATTTTTGCTGTTAACCTCAATTTTGCTTTCGACCAATATAAAATCTCTTCTTCCATTTTAGGCATTCTACAGACATTTTAGACATAGCAGATTATTTAATCTTCATAATAACTATCTAGCAGATATTAATATCCCCCATTTTATAAATGAGGAAATTGGGGCTCAAAGAGGTTAAATCACTTGCCCAAGATGACATAACATGTGATTGGCAGTGTCAAGATTTAAACCCAGGTCTGAATCTTCAGATTATTAAGTAGTACTTAGTAATAAAGTTATTAAGCTTCTAGTTTCTATAAAAATGACAGTCTGCTAGCACTTTACATGAACTGTGTGGAACTGATATGTGATGTTTCCAGTGTTTAGTAATGTGGGTCACAAACTTAGTAAAATTTTAAGGTATTTGAAAATACAAATAGTCTCACTTAGAAGAGTCAATCCCAGTTTTCATAAACCAACAAAATTAGGTTATCTAAATTATACACTTGATAATTCAGTGTTTATGGGCTAGAATAATCCAACTGTGCTAGAATAATCCAATTTTTTATTCATAATTATTATGGAATTTCATTTCACATAGAACACATACATTAAATACAAACATACATTTCTATTTCACACAGTGGTATATCATTTAATCAGAGGTTCCAAAGAAGGAGAGGTATTGGGAGCTATCTTGTTACCAAACAAAGCAGATACGTTTGCCCAGCACTGAAGATGGGTAGAATGTGAACTTCTTTGTTTTTTGGCATTGATACAAGGATTGCTGCCTAAATAAGATATTTTGGGGAGAAAAAATATTTTCTGGTTGGCACTACTGAATATAAGAATATGTGGAATCCTTTTATATTGCATCTTTATGTCATCCAGTGATAAGTAGGAAATATCTACTCAGCCTCTGCTGGGTACCTGGGATTGGGTTAGGTGCTGGGACCACAAAGAAAGAGAGTTCCTGACATCTTTATGTCTAAGTAAAAAGAGAGACTGCATATGCACTCTCTCTGCATATAGATCATTAGGCATATCAGTTTGATCTCCATGTTTGAGAAGGCCCACAGAAAAATGAACTCACTGATACCTTTTCAAGGTCATATCTTTTAAAGGCGGTAGTGTTTACTAATTTGCTGGTTTGTTCATTCTAAAGTCATTTGTGGGTCTCTCCTGAGCCAAGCACTGTGCTAAGACAGCGCTACCCTGTAAAGGGGTAAACCTTACCTGTTGACTTTCTAAGCAAATTCTTATGGTATGACCCTGCTCTGAGGCTTGCAGACAGCAATGTGGTATATTCAGCTCAACGTTTAGAGAGTTTTGATAATTATGAGGTTACCCTGAGTCCAGTAAGAACTTCTGTCACTGTGTACTGTCTCATCTTTGTATGACTAAGAAAACAGTCTCAGTCAGAAAATGTTAAACAGAAATGGTCCAAGTCTATGCACTCAATAAATAACTGAGATGATCATTCTAGATAAAATCAACTCCAGCGTTAAATAATTGTAAGTAGCTAGCTCGAATTGAATTGAATCTCTGATAGAAACCCAGTTCCAATACAAAAGGGTGCCATCTAATGGTTAACCTAGAGCAGCTTGATGAAAGTGCTTGCGGTTCCTATTTTAATTCGCAGCTACATCTGCTGGCCTAAAAGGGAACATGTTTAAAATGCTTAAAGTGAAACTTCGGTTTCTTTAAAGTATTTTGGTTTTACTGTTTGTTTATTCATAATTATTCTGGAATTTCATTTCACATAGAATGCATATAATAACATTAAATATAAACACATGTGTATTTTACACACTGTTATATCATTTAACCAGAGGATCTAAAGAAGGAGAGGTAGCAGAAGATGTCTTGTTAGACCAAGGCAGGTAAGTTTGCCCAGCATTGACAATGGGGAGAAATCAGTGCCAGTTCAGTATCTACCCTGCTCCCCGGCCCACCCTGGCCAACAAGCACGGCTTGACTGTTCAGTTTGTGTTCATCGATTACTTTCAACTATGGTATTTTATTATTTGATTATAATTAAGATAGCACCAATTTTATCACAATAACTTAATTCTGGAAAAAAAGATGAACATTTACTTTGGGTTTGTAGTCTCCTAAATCAGCTGTGTACATGATCATGGGAATGCATGCTGGGACACTATGATGAGGCCAGGTGAGTGCACACTGGGACACTATGATGAGGCCAGGTGAGTGCACACTGCGACACTATGATGAGGCCAGGTGAGCGCACACTGGGACACTATGATGAGGCCAGGTGAGTGCACACTGGGGCACTATGATGAGGCCAGGTGAGCGCACACTGGGACACTATGATGAGGCCGGGTGAGCGCACACAGGGACACTATGATGAGGCCGGGTGAGCGCACACTGGGACACAATGATGAGGCCGGGTGAGCGCACACTGGGGCTCTATGATGAGGCCGGGTGAGCGCACACTGCGGCACTATGACGAGGCCGGGTGAGTGCACACTGAGACACTATGAGGCTAGGTGAGCGCACACTGGGGCACTATGATGAGGCCAGGTGAGCGGACACTGGGACACTGTGATGAGGCCAGGTGAGCGCACACTGGGACACTGTGATGAGGCCAGGTGAGCGCACACTGGGGCACTGTGATGAGGCTAGGGGAGTGCACACTGGGGCACTGTGATGAGGCTAGGTGAGCGCACACTGGGGCGCTCTGATGAGGCCACGTGAGCGCACACTGGGACACTATGATTAGGCCAGGTGAGCGCACAGTGGGTCACTGTGATGAGGCCGGGTGAGCACACACGGGGACACTATGATGAGGCCAGGTGAGCGCACATTGGGACACTATGATGGGGCTAGGTGAATGCACACTGGGACACTGTGATGTGGCTAGGTGAGAGCACACTGGGGCACTATGATGGGGTTAGGTGAGCGCACACTGGGACACTATGATGAGGCTAGGTGAGCGAACACTGGGGCACTATGATGACGCCAGATGACTGCACACTGGGGTACTATGATGAGTCTAGGTGAGTGCACACTGGGGCACTATGATGAGGCCAGGTGAGCGCAGACTGGGGCACTATGATGAGGCCAGGTGAGCGCACACTGGACACTGTAATAAGGCCCGGTGAGCGTACACTGAGGCACTATGATGAGGCCAGGTGAGCGCACACTGGGGCACTATGATGAGGCCAGGTGAGCGCACACTGGGACACTATGATGATGCCGGATGAGCGCACACTGGGACACTATGATGAGGCCAGGTGAGCACACTCTGCGACACTATGATGAGGCCAGGTGAGGGCACACTGAGGCACTATGATGAGGCCGGGTGAGCGCACAGTGGGACACTATGATGAGGCCAGGTGAGCGCACACTGGGACACTATGATGAGGCCGGGTGAGCACACACTGGGACACTTTGATGAGGCCAGGTGAGTGCATACTGGGACCCTATGATGAGGCCAGGTGAGTGCACACTGGGACACTATGATGAGGCTAGGTGAGCGGACACTGGGACACTATGATGAGGCTAGGTGAGCGCACACTGAGGCACTATGATGAGGCCGGGTGAGCGCACACTGGGGCACTATGATGATGCCGGGTGAGCGCACAGTGGGACACTATGATGAGGCTAGGTGAGTGCACACTGGGACACTATGATGAGGCCAGGTGAGTGCACACTGTGGCACTATGATGAGGCTAGTTGAGTTCACACTGGGGCATTATGATGAAGCTAGGTGAGCGCACACTGTGACAGTAAGATGAGGCCAGGTGAGCGCACACTGGGACAGTAAGATGAGGCCAGGTGAGCGCACACTGGGACACTATGATGAGGCTAGGTGAGTGCACCCTGGGGCACTATGATGAGGCCGGGTGAGTGCACACTGCGACACTATGGTGAGGCTAGGTGAGTGCACACTGCGGCACTATGATGAGGCCGGGTGAGCGTACACTGGGGCACTATGATGAGGCTAGCTGAGTGCACACTGGGGCGGTATGATGAGGCTCGGTGAGTGCACACTGGGACACTATGATGAGGCTAGGTGAGTGCACGCTGGGGCACTATGAGGCTCGGTGAGTGCACACTGTGACACTATGATGAGGCTAGGTGAGTGGATACTGCGGTACTATGATGAGGGCAGGTGAGTGCACACTGGGACATGATGAGGCTAGGTGATTGCACACTGGGGCACTATAATGAGGTCAGATCAACGCACACTGGGGCACTATGTTGAGGCTAGGTGAGTGCACACTGGGAAACTATGATAAGGCTAGATGAGTGTACACTGGGGCACTATGATGACGCTAGCTCAGTGCACACTGGGACACTATGATGAGGCCGGGTGAGTGCACACTGGGACACTATGATGAGGCCAGGTGAGCGCACACTGGGACACTATGATGAGGCTAGGTGAGGGGACACTAGGGCACTATGTTGAGGCTAGGTGAGCGCACACTGGGACACTATGATGAGGCCGGTTGAGTGCACACTGGGGCACTATGCTGAGGCTAGGTGAGTGCTCACTGGGGCACTATGATGAGGCCAGGTGATTGCACACTGGGACACTATGATGAGGCCGTATGCGTGCACACTGGAACACTATGATGAGGCTAGGTGAGCGCACACTGGAACACTATGATGAGGCTAGGTGAGCGCACACTGGGACACTATGATGAGGCTAGGTGAACACACACTGGGACACTATAATGAGGCTCGGTGTGTGCACACGGGGGCACTATGATGAGGCTAGGTGAGTGCACACTGGGAAACTATGATAAGGCTAGATGAGTGTACACTGGGGCACTATGATGACGCTAGCTCAGTGCACACTGGGACACTATGATGAGGCCGGGTGAGTGCACACTGGGACACTATGATGAGGCCAGGTGAGCGCACACTGGGACACTATGATGAGGCTAGGTGAGGGGACACTAGGGCACTATGTTGAGGCTAGGTGAGCGCACACTGGGACACTATGATGAGGCCGGTTGAGTGCACACTGGGGCACTATGCTGAGGCTAGGTGAGTGCTCACTGGGGCACTATGATGAGGCCAGGTGATTGCACACTGGGACACTATGATGAGGCCGTATGCGTGCACACTGGAACACTATGATGAGGCTAGGTGAGCGCACACTGGAACACTATGATGAGGCTAGGTGAGCGCACACTGGGACACTATGATGAGGCTAGGTGAACACACACTGGGACACTATAATGAGGCTCGGTGTGTGCACACGGGGGCACTATGATGAGGCTAGGTGAGCGCACACTGGGACACTATGATGAGGCTAGGTGAGCGCACAGTCGGACAGTATGATCAGGCTGGGTGAGCGCACATTCGGACACTATGATGGGGCTAGGTGAGTGCACACTGGGACACTATGATGGGGCTAGGTGAGTGCACACTGGGACACTATGATGTGGCTAGGTGTGAGCACACTGGGGCACTATGATGGGGTTAGGTGAGCGCACACTGGGACACTATGATGAGGCTAGGTGACTGCACACTGGGGAGGCTAGGTTAGCGCATACTGGGACACTATGATGAGGCCAGGTGAGTGCACACTGGGGCACTATGATGAGGCTAGGTGAGTGCACACTGGGGCACTATGATGAGGCTAGGTGAGTGCACACTGGGGCACTATGATGAGGCTAGGTGAGTGCACACTGGGACACTATGATGAGGCCGGGTGAGTGCACACTGGGACCCTATGATGAGGCCGGGTGAGTGCACACTGGGACCCTATGATGAGGCCGGGTGAGTGCACACTGGGACACTATGATGAGGCTAGCTGAGTGCACACTGGGGCACTATGATGAGGCTAGGTGAGCGCACACTGGGACACTATGATGAGGCCGGGTGAGCGAACACTGGGACACTATGATGAGGCTAGGTGAGGGCACACTGGGGCACTATGATGAGGCCGGGTGAGCGCACACTGGGGCACTATGATGAGGCTAGGTGAGCGCACACTGGGATACCATGATGAGGCCAGGTGAGTGTACACTGGGACACTATGATGAGGCTAGGTGAGCACACACTGGGGCACTGTGATGAGGCTAGGTGAGTGCACACTGGGACACTATGATGAGGCCAGGTGAGTGCCCACTGGGACACTATGATGAGGCCAGGTGAGTGCACACTGGGATGCTATGATTCAGTTGTTTTATCAAGACAGATAGTTTAAGTTTGGAGAACAGTTGAGGTAAATGCTTTAAGGAACTCTTGTACTAAGTGGCAATTCCCTAACTATCAAAGAAGAAAAAGAAGCCTTGCTGTTTACATGGTTATTTACATGTGACTCAAGAGCAGTGACTTTTACACTTGTTTACCTTTTATTATTTATAGTACGTGTTGATACTTGAAGGATTCTGAAGAGGTTTAGGTTATTTATAGCTAGACTACCTTGAGTTTTTTCCTCCCCTTAGAAGGAGAAACATTAAATATCTAAATAATTCCTAGTTGGTATGATTAGAACTTTATCAGGGGGGTATGCGCTATGTCTGTGGACCTGTGCTCTATGTTTGTGGGGAGGTGGTTATCTCAAAGGACTGGCAGAATGAACATTGCTAACCTTTACTGGGGCCTCTAGAGAATGCATTCATGATGCCTAGTATAGTAGGAATTTACAGATAATTTATAGCTGTTGTCCTCACAGGAGCTGAAACCTCAACTGTAATAAAAAACCATCAGTGAAAATGTCCTTAGTTATTGTGAAGTACTTTAAGTTGTCCAGTTATTTAAATTTTTAAATTAATGTATAAATGAAGGGAGTTTTTGATTTGTTTTTTTACCCCTTTGCCATGGGATAAGAAGTATTTGTTAGGTGGGCGGTGGCTCATGCCTGCAATCTCAGTACTTTGGGAGGCTGAGGCAGGAGGATTGCTTGAGTCTAGGAATTTGAGATTAGCCTAGGCAACATAGCGAGACCTTGTTTTTACAAAAAAATTTTAAAAATTAGCCAGGCATGGTGGCACGTGCCCGTAGTCCCAGCTACTCAGGAGGCTGAGGTGTGGGAGGAGCACTTGAACCTGACTGGCAGGTTGAGAGTGTGGCAAGCTAAGATCACACCACTGCACTCCAGCCTAGGTGACAGAGACCCTGTTTAAAAACAAACAAAAACAGTATTTATCTTCGTATATATATTGAGGACCTTTTTATTCAAAACAGAAAAAAAAAGACAACCTTTGGTATTTTTTATAAAAATATGTACTCGTTTAAAAAAAAAATCAATGTTGAAAAGTACAAAACAAAAATCACCAGAAATCCTACTAAGTTGTAATCATAATTACATTAGAAACATCCTTTTGGAGCATCTTGTGTAGGCATATTCATAGAGTTGTATAGAAATGCTGCTTTACTGCCTGCTACTCTGCAATCTTTTTTCACTAAACAGTCACAGGAGCATCTTTGCACAGCAGAGTATATCAATCTCCATCACTTTTAATCACTATAGGGAACCCTATTGTATATTATAATCTATTTAATCAGTCTCCTGCCAATGGCATTTAGATTGCAATTTTTCACTATTAAATACCATAGGGAACCTGTAGGCATACATCTCCTTGCACAAAAGATGTTATTGTTTGTTGAGTCAAAGTGCATTTTTAAAATGTTTTTGATATTTGTTGCTAACCAGCCCTCCAGAAAAGTTTATACAAAATGCATAAAAGTTTCTTGGGATCCTTGCCCTGAGTGGCTTCTATTACTCTGAAATTTTTGCCAATCTGATTGATAGAAAGTAATCCACCCCCACCCCCAACTCTCTTTCTTCCTGTATCTCTCCTGAGTCCCTGCTGCTAGAAAGGCTTTTATGGAAGTGATTTCTGATTGGCATCTTGCACAGCTTTCCAGGGCCCCGTCTTGCCTCCTCTTCTGCTGATAGACATTGCTGCTTTTTCAAGAGCCCAGACCTCCTTTTCTTTAAAAAACAAAAAGTAAAACATGTAAATAAAACAGATATATTTTAAATATGTCTCTATAAATGGACATTGTGCTTTCCTATTACAAGAGAATCTTTAAGGGAAGTAATATTGTATCTTTCCTCTAGGACAGTATTGGATGTACTCTGATAATATTTATTTTCTCCAGTTCTTTTTTGTAGCTGCTCCTAGGTATAATTTTTATGATAATATTTAGGCTCACTTCTTAGTAACCTTATGACCAACTGGAGGGCCTTAGCTAATAATTACAATCAAATTTCTTTTGGCTCCTTGCTAATTTAAGTTTCACTGGTAGTTTGGTGTTTCTCTTATCAGTACGTTTATTCCTGCATTATTTTTACCTATTCACCTCAAATGAAGCAGCGTTGTAGAGTGACTGCTAGAACCCCATATGTAAATAGTAAAACTGTGAAAAAGCTTAGAAATGTTTAACTTTGATGATCTCTAAGGAGGGAAATAGACTTTAAGGGCTATGTACTTTCATTGGCTTAGATCAAACATTAAAAACAAAACTGAGTCTCCTGGCCAATTGTTTAATGGCAGCCACTTCTGAGGGATCTGCAGGGGAAGTGTGAGAAGCGGCTGAAACATTTCCCTCTGCCTCCTTGCCTAATCTAATTTCAGTGCTTCCAGAGATCTCTACCAGCTTCTGCCCCCAGGAAGCAAGCCTCAATTTCTTATTTTGATTACCATACGTCAGCATATTCGGCCTCGTTTCCACTTCTTCATAGTGCTCACTAGAACCTCAGAACAGTCATCACGATCCTGCAGAGGTAGTTCCATGTGTCACACTCTTGGGCCTTCAAACAGCTTGAGGACTGGGGAATATTTTCCTGGAATCATTTTTAAATGAATTGGAAGTAGCACTGCACATCAGTGAATAGGTTCAAGTCAGAGGTGACAAGAACATCTCTATAACTCTTCTTCCCCATTCCACTGCAGCTCTAATAGGTTTAACATCGTAGTGGACAGAGGCACTTGATGCATATGTGGACAAGCAGTTTGGTGACAGAGAACCCGAATCACAGGGACTTGCTCAGTTTAAGATGGGAGATAATGACCAATGTACTTTTTTAAAAAGTCAAGCAGGGGAATCCGCTGTTTTGGCATATTTCCAAAATAGCTCTTTCAAACCCACCTGTTTCCTTGTATAAGTAAAATAGCACCCCAAGCATTTTATCAAGTGGGAACGTGCGACAAGGACTGGGACAAATCAGCTCTGCCATAAAAGCTTTTTTGTTCTGAGGCTTGACACAGATCAGACTTCATCACCTCGATAATATTCCCAGCCGTATCCCACAGGAGGAAGGCAGCCTAGATTTCACTTGGGTTTTCTTTTTCTTTGTCCTTAATTCTTAGACTGAGCCTAGAAAATTGGGCACACATGAGCAGATCTCTCTAAATAAAGCATTGTGGACTGGAGACCTGATATCATTTGCTTCCCCCTCAAGCTCCGTTTTAAAAGTTACTTATGATTGATTAGTCACTTACAAATATCTAAAACTGTGGGACAGTATTACACTAATATATAGTTGATATGTACAGTTTGTAAGTATTCACTTACCGGTATATCAGAAAATGATGTTCTCTCAAATGGATTTTTCTACCTGAAATGTTTCTAACAATTTTAAGAAATCATTTTCTAATGTGCTATATATTTTTCCACTATGTAAATTGTGCTGAACATAACTTATCATGTAACTTTTTCTTGGTGACTCAGATCTATCATTTATTGTTTGCTTCTTATACTGACAGATTCTAGGCTTTTATAGTTCTTCCTTTATTCTTTTTATGAGTTTTCTCGATTCCAGTTTGGCTGTTGTAACTTCCGACTGTCCCACTTACTTGTGAAATAGTGCTGCTTTATTTTACCCAGTTATGCTTAAGGTGCTTTTTTTCCTCCCCTCATCTCTTCTCCTTCACAGGTTCCAGCCACTCTGATGCCTTCATTTACACCCTGAGCTCTAGGCTCATGGGCCCAGTTGACTGGACACAGGTGCTTGGGTGTCCTGCAGGCATCCCGTGTGTCCCTCAGTGAACTGTCATTTGTCCCCAACTACAACCTACTCCTGAGTCATTCTCCCCGTGAATAGCAGCATCACCCACAAAGCTGCCCAGACAGAAAAGCCAGGTGGCCATTCCTGACCACACTGTGTCTCACCCCTGCATCTAATCAGTCACCACATCTTGCTTTTCCCTGACCCCCACAGCCACTATAGTTGATGGCACCTTCTTGCTCCAAGATGATTCGGACAGCTGTCTCTGTTCTCCCTGCCTCCCGCCTTGCCTCTCTGCAGCCCTTTCTCTGCCCTTCTGCCAGAGCACTCTGGCCTTCACCTTCTCTGGACTTAACACGCACACTGCCTTTCTTCCTGTTACCAGAGATAAAAGGTCCATGCTGCTGCCAGAGGCCCACCCTGCCTTTTGGGCATTAGATCCTGCCCCTCGTCATCTACAAGGGACCTTGCTCCCATCGTTATCCTCAGCCTTAGCTGATTGTGACATGTTCCTTCTCTGCTGTGGTGTGTACAGACATGCTCTAGTTTCTCCCACCTCTAGAGGTTCTCTCTAGATATTCCTTAGCCTCCTCCAGCTACCAGCCCATTTATCTGCTCCCCTTTACACAAAAAGCTTCCCGAAAGAGTTGTCTGTGGTCACTGCCTCCACTTCCTCCCCTTCCTGCTCTCAGTCCAGCTCCTTGCCCCAGCGCTGCACTGGAACTGCTATTAAGGTTGCCAGTGCCCTCCTTGTTGCCAGATCTTACTTTATCCTCTGTTACTTGCCCTCCCAGCAACATTTGGGCACAATGGAGCCCCCCCTCCATCCTGAAACACTGTGGCTTCTGAGCTACCTTCCACCTCACTGGACATTTTGCCTGTCTCTTGTGCCAACCCCTCCCCTGGCCAGCCTCTTAACATCAGTGTCCAGTAGCTCCTACTTAAACTCTTCTGTCCTCCATCTATCCTCCGCCCCTTGGCTCTTTCGTCCAGTCCCTGCCACTTTAAAACAAACAGTACTATCTGATGCCGTCCAGATACATAGCCCCAGCCCTGACCTTCAGATCGGCGTCTCTGCTTCATATTGTGTGCCCTCACAATATGACACGCCCTCATAGGCGTGTCACATGACCCATGTCCCAACTAGAGCACTTGATTTCCTCACTTTATTCCCAACTTGCTCCTCCCTTGGTCTTCCCCATTCCGTAAATGCCACCGTCATCTCATCCTTCCACTTCAAACCAAAAACCCCAGTGAGAATCCTCTTAGATTCTCTCATTTCCCTTGGTTCCCTTCATCTGATGCATGCAAGTCCTGCTTGTCAGCTCTGCCGCTGAACACCGCCTGCCTCCTTCATCTCTCCACATCCATTCCTCTGTTGCCTAGTGTTTTAAGAGTTTCCTGTCCAGTTTCCCGGCCTCTTCCTTATTCCTTCTAGAATTTTTTCTCCACACAGCAGCCAGAGATATTTTAAAAATGTGAGTCAGATCATGCTACTTCCTTATTTAAAACCCTTCAGTGGCTTCCTGTTGAAGAAGGTTTACATGATGTAGCCCCACCAACCTCACTGACCTCATCTTGAGCCACCACAATTGCCCACCTCACCTCTTCCCACTGCACTCCAGCCCTGCCAGCATTCTTATTCCTTCAACACACAGGGCTGTTCCTGCCTAGGGCCTTTACTCTAGCTTTGCCCAGGAAACTCCTTCCCCAGGTCCTTGCATCGCTGGCTGTTTGCTGCTATCCAGGGTTTCAACTCAAACTTAATTTACCTCCTCAGAGCAGCTTCTCCAGATGTCTTCATTCCCACCACCCAGTTACTCTCTGAAATTATCCTATTTTCTTTTCTTTGTAACGCCTATTGCAAAACGAGATGATATTGACCATTGTCTTGTTTTATCAGTCTTCACAAAAAGAATGTAGATTCTGAGGGTAGAGACCTCCTTTATCTTGGTCATTGTTATATCCTCGCACCTGTAACACTGCCTAATGCATTGTAGGTGTTTAGTAAGTATTTATTGAATGCAATCTGATCACATCACTTCTACCATTTCATTTCAGTGGCACTCTCTCTCTCTCTCTTTTTTTTTTTTTTTTTTTTTTTTTTTTTGACAGAGTCTCACTCTGTCACCCAGGCTGGAGTTCAGTGGCACAATCTTGGCTCACTGAAACCTCTGCCTCTTGGGTTCAAGCAATTTTCCTGCCTCAGCCTCCCAAGTAGCTGGACTACAGGCATGCACCACCATGCCCGACTGATTTTTGTATTTTTTGTAGAGACGGGCTTTCACCATGTTGACCAGGCTGGTGTGGAATGCCTGACCTCAAGTGATCCACCTGCCTCGGCCTCCTGAAGTGCTTGGATCACAGGTGCGAGTCACTGCGCCCAGGCTAATGAATTTTAATTTCTTTGCTTTCCATGTTTTATGCCACATTATAAGTTTTCCTTTTTAATGATTAACACAAGTGGCTCTTTTATATTGCATCAGAAATTATGTATAAGATGCTGCTTTCAAAGAACAAAAATGTGATTGGGGTTATTTATTAGAAGAGCTTGCCAATTCATTTCATATTTAAATACCGTAAACAGGAAGTTGATCCCAGCATTGCTCTTTGAATTGACTTTTTGCCTTTATTCTATTCTTTGTGGCCCTCTATTTGTCTTTCCTCCAGTTTTCCCAGTGTTGCTGACAAAGTAAAATATTTTCATGTGCTGGGATTTGCAGAGACCCCCCCCTCCCCCCGCCACCATGAGAATTACTGAGCAATAGAATTAGAGCCCACTAATTTATTTTAAAACTACAATTTGCATTCTATGATTTTTCAAATCACAAAGAAGACTTTCAAAATAATTGTGTTCATGCTGGTGAGTTTATGGCCTATTTCAGATCAGCTTGTAATAATTAACACTGCTTTCATTTTATCCCTTTCCCCTAAACCAAGGGTTCTGTGTGCTGATTATTTTTTTAAAGCTTTCCAAAGAACAGAACATTTTAAATAACTTTAAAGGATAAAAATAGTTTCTCTGCCACTGCATATTTGTTTTACTGCATTTCTAACACTGTAATAGATTTTTGTTTTTGTTTTGTTTTTTAATGTTTTAACTTGGTAAAAGTGGGTATTGGCTTTGAAAATAGCCACAAAATCTTTTAGCTTATCCAAAGCTTTACTTGAAATATATGCATCAACTTTCTAAAGATGCCCCAGTGGGTGCCACCTACCCATTTTACTTACCCTCATTTTCAGAACTCTCTCTAGATGGGGTCTGTGGCCCCGCCTTTCTGTCTCTCTCACCTTTTAGCCCACTCCCCAGCCTTACTCACTCAGCTCTACAGTTCCTCATTCTTTTCTACTACATTTACCAAATCCCTATTCGTGGGCCCAGCTCTGTTCTAGAGGACAGGGATATGCTGGTAAATAAAAGGTGATCCTTCTTGCAGTGGCACATTCGTAAGTATTTTACATTTAACTGTGTGTGATAAATCCTCTAATGGAGAGAGGTACAAAGTACAGTGGTGACATAGGCTTTTAGAAAGCCAGTTCTGCTTAGGGGATTGGCAAAGATTGGTGAGAGAATGGAATATCAGAACTGGACTCCCGGAGAGGAAAAGGAGGATTTGAGAGCTGGGTGTGAGTCCAGGTGAAAGGAATAGTGACTTAGTGGCAGCCATTCTTGGCCCAGGGACTTGCTGGTTGTTTTCATTTCCTGCTTCCTCCCTCCTAAGTGGTACAACCGAAAGTACTGAGGTGTAATCCTGCCATTAGCTATAATACTGTACTGCGTTTTGAATAGATAATTTGAGTCAGGTTTTCAATTCAGAAGGAATAATGAGCCACCTAGGATAGGAAGTCACTAGGGAGCTGTCTAGCTATACTTGGCTTTCCACATCTTTGAGTAGACCTAAATATGCTCTGGAGGTCACATACATCTCTTCGTCTTTGTTAGTGCTTTCCTTTTTTATCTCAAGACTTATTGTAAATAAAAAAGCTGCTTTGTTTGGTATGTTTTTATTTTGAACAGTTTTTTTTCCCCCTCAAGATTGATTTAGTTGTGGCTAAGGGGAAAAACTGAAGAGGCAGCTATTAGAGAGATTGTATTTCTGAAGAGGTTCAAACGATAGAAAGAAAATGACTATAGAAAGTAGCCATCCCGCGAAGAGTCTTTATGTCCTTGAATTTCATGTTCAACAACACTTATCTTGGAAAATGACTTGACTGGTGAAAGGAATCATTATAGGTGGATGGTGGGAACAGTCACCAGGTTAAAACATTTCAAGTTATGACTGAGATAAAAGAAATGACAGCTATCAAAAATTGTTGCTTTTAAAGGATTCCTCTAAAACATTGGCCACCATTAAATAAAGATGACCCTTTTAAAACTGCAGTTTTTAATTTGACAAATGTTAACCAAAAATCTGACCACCAGTGCTAAGAGGATTCATGTACCTAGTCCCCTTACCATTTGGTTTGTGGCTCTGTCATCTGAACGGGGTATCTGATCCTTACTGATAGGGAAAACATGGCCAGGAGGTCACCCTGAAACAGGATGTCAGGAACTCAGCTGATGGCACACCTTTCCCACCCTCACCAACTCCTTTGCTTATTGTTCCTCTCCTCCTGGACTGCCTTTTTTCTTCTTTTGTTGAGACGGAGTCTTGCTCTATCGCCCAGGCTGGAGTGCAGTGTCATGAACTTGGCTCACTGCAACCTCCGCCTCCAGGGTTCAAGCAATTCTCATGCCTCTGCCTCCTGAGTAGCTGGGACCATAGGCACACACCACCACACCCGGCTAATTTTTGTATTTTTAGTAGAAATGGGGTTTCACTGTGTTGGCCAGGCTGGTCTCGAACTTCTGACCTCAAGTGATCCACAAACTCAGCCTCCAAAGTGCTGGGATTACAGGTGTGAGCCACTGCGTCCAGCCCTGGACTGCCTTTCAATGGCACAAATAAGAATAGCTTTTCGGCCAGGCGCGTTGGCTTATGCCTGTAATCCCAACACTTTGGGAGGCCGAGACAGGCAGATCACCTGAGATCAGGAGTTAGAGACCAGCCTGACCAATATGGTGAAACCCTGTCTCTACTAAAAATACAAAAATTAGCCAGGTGTGGTGGCAGGTGCCTGTAATCCCAGCTACTCGGGAGGCTGAGACAGGAGAATGGCTTGAACCTGGGAGGCAGAGGTTGCAGTGAGCTGAGACCATGCCATTGCACCTGGGCAACAGAGCAAGACTCTGTCTCAAAAAAAAAAAAGTAATAGCTTTTCAAGTCCAAATATAAAGTATTCATTTTGTCAGCATTCAATATTCTAAAGCGGAAATCTTTTTTTTGCTGATCATGAGGAGCTACATGTACCAAGGGGCCCCATTCCAGAAGAGCACACTGCTTTTAAATAAAACAAGAGGGAGAGCTTTTGAGGAACCATTACACGGGCAGAATGCTGTTTATAAGTGAGGAGAAAGTGCCATCATTTTTTTTGGAGCTTTTGTAGTTTACTGGGCTTATTAGGGTATGCATTTCATCAGATGTGAAGTTGACACCTCCTCAGAAACTGTAAGGGAATTTAGTTCTTAAGATTGCCCAGAGAAATGCTGAAGAAATAAGGCATACTGATGCCACGTTGTACTAGATCATTTATTTCACTACTTTGGTCAATAATCTGATTTATGCATTGGTTGAAACTTGCCATTTTAAGGACTTTTAAGAGATATCCTCATTTTAATTGAGGACTGCATTGCCAGCTTTCTACCTGAGAAGTCGTTTTTCTTCGGGACGCACAATCAAAGGCTTTCCTCTAGCATGAGAAAGGAATAGCATTCTCGCCTGGTGAATTTTTAGTGATGGGATGACTCCCAGCGGGCCCCTACCCTGCTCAAGCTCCTGCTGACTGTCCCAGTGTGGGTCCTGGCCAGAACTGGCACCAAGGCAGTGGGATCCTTTATAAATAGGCCTCCGGCGCCATACACCAGATAGCAGGAGCCCACTTCTGGGACACTGGGAGATGGTGCAGGCAACCACCCGTATGCAAAGCACAGCGCCCTATCCTTCCCGGCAGGGTCACCGTTCAGAAGATGTAACCTGATTTTCATCCGTAGTTAATAGAAGCATTTTTCCTTGGCATTCATACTAAAAATAGAAAACTAGTAATTCCGGGGATCTGGGTTAACCTCTTAAGCATGTCAACTATCGATGAGAATACTCTTTGTAAAACTAACTCCAGAAATCACTTGCTCGAGAAGCAGCCCTTCACTGCCTTAGTCTCAGCACCAACGGAAAGTACATGTTGAAGGCGCTGGCAAGGCCCGCGCAGCCGCAGTAGAGGGCCAGGGGGCGTGTCTTGCGCACTCGCCACAGAGGGCTGAAGGTGCTGCTAATGGCTCTCTTGGCGTTGCGACGTCCTGGTCAGCAGTTTTCTTCCATTCTCTCCCTCCATTTCTTGAGTGAGCAGCCATGAGTTGGACTGTGTCTGTTGTGCAGGCCAGCCGGAGAGTGAGCTCGGCAGGAGCGAATTTCCTGTCCCTGTGTCCCAGTCAGGCAGCGCGCATGCCGCTCAAGGGCGCCTGGCTCTTCACCCCCGTGAAGAGTGAGCTTGTTGAGCGCTTCACTTCCGAGGAGCCCGCTCATCACAGTAAGGTCTCCATCATAGGAACTGGATCGGTGGGCATGGCCTGCGCTACCAGCATCTTATTAAAAGGCTTGAGTGATGAACTTGCCCTTGTGGATCTTGATGAAGGCAAACTGAAGGGTGAGACAATGGATCTTCAACATGGCAGCCCTTTCATGAAAACGCCAAATATTGTTTGTAGCAAAGATTACCTTGTCACAGCAAACTCCAGCCTAGTGATTATCACAGAAGGTGCACGTCAAGAAAAGGGAGAAACGCGCCTTAATTTAGTCCAGCGAAATGTGGCCATCTTCAAGTTAATGATTTCCGGTATTGTCCAGTACAGCCCCCTCTGCAAGCTGATTATTGTTTCCAATCCAGTGGATAACTTAACTTATGTAGCCTGGAAGTTGAGTGCATTTTCCAAAAACCGTGTTATTGGAAGCGGCTGTAATCTGGATACTGCTCGTTTTTGTTTCTTGTTTGGACAAAAGCTTGGTATCCACTCTGAAAACTGCCACGGATGGATCCTAGGAGAGCATGGAGACTCAAGTGTTCCTGTATGGAGTGGAGTGAACATAGCTGGTGTCGCTTTGAAGAATCTGAACTCTGATACAGGAACTGATAAAGATCCTGAACAATGGAAAAATGTCCACAAGTGATTGCTAGTGCCTATGAGATTATTAAAATGAAAGGTTATACTTCATGGGCCATTGGCCTATCTGTAGCTGATTTAACAGAAAGTATTTTGAAGAATCTTAGGAGAACACATCCAGTTTCCACCATCATTAGGGGTCTCTGTGGAATAGATGAAGAAGTATTCCTCAATATTCCTTGTGTCCTGGGAAAGCTGACCCCTGAAGAGGAGGCCCCCCTGAAAGAGAGTGCAAAAACACTTTGAGAAATTCAGAAGGAACTGAAGCTTTAAAGTTGTCTAAAACTACCATTCTGAAATTATTGAAGAGATCATAGATATAGGGTTATATATCAAAATTTTGAATAAACTTAAATTCCTAAAATATGGAAACAGGAAAGTGGATAAAATGACTTACCTATTTATTTAGTCCTCCAGCTCTTTTATTTAGCATCCAGGTGCTGGGTGATACTTATTTACAATTCCTAAAGAAAGTGTTTTTGGTACCCCTGATGTAGCAGCACTTGCCTTGTTATATATGTAGTTGGCATTTGGTTCCCAAAAAGTAGGATGTAAGTATTTATTGTGTTCTAGATATTCTGATTATTTTCATTAGATACATGCTTTCTTCTTGCTGGCTTATACCTATGTTCATTTATATGCTGTAAAAAAGTGGTAACTTCCTCTACAATGTAAAAATAAAAGTATATACGTACAGGTATTTTTTATAATGGACCCATCTTGAAACCGCCTTCATTTCCTCTGGGACGGCCTTTCAGCTGGGTCGTTAAAAAGACATGAAGTGGGGACTGCAGCTGCATGTTGGGCATGTGTGTACATGCACACACTTGTGTATGTGCGCACACCAGTGAAGCAGGATCATTTGGTTAAGATATGAAAATAGTGATCTGATGGTAGCTGTTATAAAATGTTTAACGCAGTAATTCAGAAAGCTTTTAGAAAGAGGCTTGACAGTCAGAGGTGGTATAGTTACTGTTGTTTGTTTGGCCGGGAAAGGAAACTTCCCTAAATTTTGCAGTTACTAAAAATAAAGCCTGACTGAGTAAAAATCATTTTAGAATCGCTCCTGAGAACCTGACCTGTTAGCGCATTAAATCAAGAAGCATGTTAGAAATTGTTCTTACTGAGCAGGATCTTAGCTTCAGAGTGGCCCTGGCTCTAAGAGCCTCCTGGGTTATTCCGCTCTTCAGTTTATTTCATGTTTACAGAAAGTTTTTGCTTTTGAATTTGTGCCTGATTGTTAATTACTGTCATAAAAATTGGCCATTTTGATGCATACTTCAGGGATTGTATTTCTCAGAAAGTTACATGTGTGCTTTGTATTTCTAAATCAATTGACTTTACTACAGATTTTGGACTTTATGCATGTGATACAGTGAAAGTTGGGGAGAAAGTAAAAATGTTTGTCTGACATTTATCTAAATAATAGGATTAGTAGCTTAGAAAATGGAAAGCTGAGATGTAAAAATTCACATTCGCTTTCCTAATGCAGTTGAATATTTAATAATACGGTATGTTCAAATACATTTCATCTCAGGATCCATGTGGATAGCAACAAAACTAGTCAAAAGTGAAAATATCAGTATCTGCCCTCTAAACCAGGCCAGTCCTGCTTAGTTGAATTTTATCAAGCATGATGGTGATCCTCCAAAACACTGACCCTTTTCTACCCTGACCAGAACTCCCATACTGCTTTATTGAAAACATCTAGAAATGTTGATTTCTCAGGAAGCAGTGTCATATAATGGGACTCACTGATGTGCTGGGCTCCTTGAAAGTGGGAAGAGAAGAGTGGTGGTTTCAGTTCTAGGCGGTTTTAGGAGCTTTTGAGAGCTCAGCTGCGGAATTTGAGAGCTTGTAATTCCAACAACTGCCTATTTATTGGAATTGATGCTTAAGGACTTTCTGAAATTAATTAAATTGGGGACATAACCTGAGGCTTTTAAGTAACTTTTCAGCATACTGTATATTAGACCAAATGTTTTCAAGTGTTTTTCCCCTACCAAGACATGCATGGTAAATGTGCAGCAGTGTCCCCTGTGCATATTCAAGCAGGATACACAGTAAGCACATAGGCTGTGCAGTCAGATTTGCTCTTACCAGCCATGGCACTGAGCACATTGTTTCGTTTCTCTGAGCTTCCATCACCATAGCTTTAAAGGAGGGATGATATTTGCCCCACTTGGTTGTTGGGAGGGTTAAATGAGAAATATGGCTGGCATACAGTAAGGACTCTCTAAGTGGCATCAGTGGTTGGCCTCACTCCTGGCCTACTGGCTATATGGCCTATTGAAATGTGAACGAGAATAACATTATTAGAGGCATAATCCTGAATCTGTTTTAATGTCTAAAAAGGCCATTGTATCTACAGAACATCCATATTTGTGACAAATTACTTGTAATACATTTTCCATTTGTCTTGACATTCCATTTGAGCACTACTACCTCAGATGGTGGTACTTTCTGTGACTATGACAATGCAGCACTGTTGGACACAAAGCATTGGGACTTAGAAATGAGGATGGTGGGCCCACGGCACTGGGGAGTAATACTCATGTCTTAGATGAGGATGGTGGGCCCACGGCACTGGGGAGTACCATTCATGTCTTGGTTTTGTTTAGTTTTGGTTTCTTTTGAGATGGAGTCTCACTCTGTGGCCCAGGCTGGAGTGCAGTGGCATGCTTTTGGCTCATTGCAACCTCCACTTTCTGGGTTCAAGCAATTCTCCTTCCCCAGCTTCCTGAGTAGCTGGGGCTACAGGCGTGCGCCACCATGCCTGGCTAATTTTTGTATTTTTAGTAGAGACGGGATTTTACCACGTTGGCCAGGTCTCGAATTCCTGGCCTCAAGTGATCCAACTGTCTAGGCCTCCCAAAGTGTTGAGATTACAGGCGTGAGCCACCACACTCCACTCATGTCTTAGTTTTTATGGAAAGCACCCCCTGGAGGTGTGCAGGGCACAGCAGCACTGCTTGGAAGGGTAACCCTGTTATCCATAGTATAGGAAAATTTTCCCTGGTCAGAGGAAAGAAGAGAGAACTACAGTTTGGAAAATGCTTGGGAGTGAAACGGAGTTGCTGGATGGGTACTCTAGTTCCCAGCATACCCCCCACCAGACTTTTGGGGTACAGGGCAGTCAGTTCTATGGCAGTAGCTGTGATTATCAAGGAATTCAGTACATTTACTTTATAACCAAATTTGCTTAAATGCACTCAACCCCTAAATCTTTTCAAGCACATCTTTAAACAGGGAAATGTTCTGTTGGCTTCATGTATAGAGAATCATTGGTCAAACCAATACCTTTTCTGAACTGCATATCAGAAATTGATATAGGTGGAAACGATGTGAAGGTTTTCATTTACTGTCCATGTAATATGAACAGTATGAGCTGAAAAGCCTTCTGTGGAGCCCATTCTCTAAAGCCACTTGAGGCCCTGTTTATATCTTAAATGTCTGCGTTTCGATTTCCACAGCTGTAAACTTAGAGAACAGGGATAGATGGTACCCTTTACCCATCTCCGTTCCTTTCCCTCATCTCAGGCCTGTCTATTCCTAGTTAGTTACTTTTCAGATAGAGTGCTTCTATTGATTCAGTTACCATGACCCTGGGCACAAGTAAATAATTTAATATTTGAGAAATTAGAGGAAAGAAAACAATCAGGCCAAGAGGAGGAAATGGAAACGTAACCCTGCCGAAGGAGAGCAGGACCGCCCCTTGCTCTCCTCCCCTGGCCTCACCTGCATTTCCCAGCCTCTCCCTTCTCAGCAGCTGACCACATTCCAGACCACTGGAAGGGAGACTGGTGAATGATTCTGTTCATGTCTTGGCTATCTGACATCCCATTTGAAAATTGTCATCTGGCTTCGTTGTAAAAGATGTTCAACCAGAAGAGTGAAGAGAAAGAACCAGGCAGCACATTGCCAACCCTGGCCAGAGAGATGTCTGTTTTTCAACTACAAAAGTCTATGCAAAGTTCCTCAGTGGGGGTGATATTAATGTTTTGGACAAAGCAATTAATTCTTTATGGAAGAGGGAGTGGGGAGGGAGACATCCATGAGCTGTGTGTCTTCAAGATTAGTGTCTGGGTCCAGAACACTGAGATGGCTGGCACAGATACAGACAATATGTAATATGGAAGGAAGACCTTACGTATCTTCCAGTGACAGAATATGTAAACTAAAAAGATATATAGCTATAAAGTAATGTACTTAACAGACATTCCATAATATTTATATCCATGTGAGCTTTGTTCTTGGAATATAGCACACATATGTCGATAATACAGCAATGATAATAGCTAATGTATATTGAGCACTTTCCATGTGTTAGATGCTGTGCTTTATATGCATCATCTCACTTAGTCCTTAATCCTCACAACTCTTTAAGCAGGTAATTACTGTCTCCATTCTACATATGTGGAAAGTATGGCTTAATAGAGTAAGCAGCTTTCCCAAATGGTGGAGCTAGGATCTGAACAGAGTCCATGCTGCTGACAGCAGTGCTACAGTTTGCAGCAGTGCTAGGAGTAAATGCCTAGGATTTACAAGTCCCAAACCCCTAAATCTGGAAACAAGGTAAAGATTCAGCCTCAAATTGAAATAAATAAGCATCGACATTAAAGAAATATTAGCTGATTCTCAAAATAACCACTCTAAGAAATGACTTGCGGCCGGGCGCGGTGGTTCACGCCTGTAATCCCAGCACTTTGGGAGGCCGAGGCGGGCGGATCACGAGGTCAGGAGATCGAGACCATCCCGGCTAAAACGGTGAAACCCCGTCTCTACTAAAAATACAAAAAATTAGCCGGGCGTAGTGGCGGGCGCCTGTAGTCCCAGCTACTTGGGAGGCTGAGGCAGGAGAATGGCGTGAACCCGGGAGGCGGAGCTTGCAGTGAGCCGAGATCCCGCCACTGCACTCCAGCCTGGGCGACAGAGCCAGACTCCGTCTCAAAAAAAAAAAAAAAAAAAAAGAAATGACTTGCATGTTGCATATGAGTCCAGCATACTTCACAAACCTGATCAAGGCTATCTCTATCCTTAGGAAAATATGACTGGCAGATGGCTGATGAGAAAAAATTGGAAGGCAGTACTGTGGTGCTGCTGAAATGTCTTCGTAGGAGGACCGTATAGATTAACCAGGATGAATCAGGGAGTGTGTTACTAGTACTGTCCAATGTAAAGATCACCTAACTTCTGTAAGTTAGTGTTCCCACCTTATGGGGTTGTACGCCTTAGGTGGACCCAGGTGCTCCAGGTAAACTGTAATACTGTGTGACACTGCATGTTAAGATCTCTTAGGCTGGGCGCGGTGGTGCACGCCTGTGATCTCAGCACTTTGGGAGACCGAGGTGGGAGGATTGCTTGAGTTCAGGAGTTTGAGACCAGCCTGGGCAACATAGCAAGACCCCATCTCTACCCAAAATGCAAAAGTTAGCACATGCCTGTAGTTCCAGCTACTTGGGGGTGCTGAGGTGGGATGATCACTTGAGCCCGGGAGGTTGAGGCTGCAGTTAGCCATGATTGTGCCACTGCACTCCAGCCTAGGCAACTGCCTCAAAAAAAGAAAAAAAAATCTCTTGTTCCCTTGCTGTGACTCTGATTCCAAATCAACTGCTTGTAAAACTCCTACCTAGATTTAAAAAAACAAAAACAAAAAAAAAACCACTGTCTTGCACATAAGAACATTCCAGTTTATCTACCATTCCTTGATTTATTCTTGACGAAACTCCTAAGTTTCTTCTGTCTGCCATTTCTGTGTCTAAAATTCTAGCTTTGAATGACCTAATTATATTTATTTATTCAGAAAGAAATCCCATCCTCAATGGCATCTTTATATATGAAAGCCAACAATACACACTCTTCTTCTGGGAGGGAATAATTATTATGGAGAGTTGACGGTTTAGGACATGTTGCCTTGCAGATTAAGAGTGGTTTGTTTGTTTGTTTGTTTGTTTGTTTGTTTTTAAAGAGATAGAGTCTTGCTGTGTTGCCCAGGCTGGACTCAAACTCCTGGGCTCAAGCAATCTACCCACCTCAGCCTCCCGAGTAGCTAGGACTACAGGTGTGAGCCACCATGTCCAGCTAAGAGTGAAGTTTTATGTTATTTATTAATAAATTTATACTCAGAAGAAGAAAGGAAGTATATTTCATTTTCTTTCAAGATACCTAGGATATATATAGTCCCTATCTTTTATTGATGTTCCTTAGCTCTGTATCTGTGAGCAGTGAAGTACTAGCCAGTCAGCAAAGGTGCCATCTCTAATAGCTGTTTTTCTCCTTCTTTTAACATTTGATAACTGATTATTTTTCTTCTTTTAGATGAACGACTTTCGAAGTAAAATGCAATCAATATTTCCAACAATTCCCAAGAACTCCGAATCGGCTGTTGAGTGGGAGGAAACATTGAAATCCAAATGAGATGAGCATGGATGAATTTCAAAATGCTTGTTACAGAAAGGGGTGGCTCTGGAGACACCATGACAGCAAAAGGACTGGGACTGATTTCTCCCAGGAACATGGGCAGATTGCTGACTGAACCAGTGCACTGGATAGCATTCAGCCTCATCACAGGAGAGTATGTGTGTGCGTGCTGGGGGAGGGTAAAGTTTTCCCACAGTTAAGAAGACTATTTAAAAATAGTAATTACAGGAATAACTTCCTTATGTGGAGGGGACCCCATAGGAAATGATTCTGTTTGTAACAGTTGAAGCAAATTTCATACTAAAAAAGTTTATAATAAAAGTATGATAAGAAAATATTTATAAAACAGACCCCCTAATAGCAATAGTACTGCAATGTGTCTAATTAAAGGAGTTTCAAGAGCCTTTCTTGTCAATATATGACAGAACTTGGAAGTCTTATTCTGATTAGCCAGACTACAAAGTGACAGTCACCTGGTAAGTCCTGTATGGTAGGAAGTGGGTGTGGCTCTCGGGTCCTAAATGTGGTCTGTGCTTTACAGCCATCACACACATGCTAGTTATTTACCTGATGCCCTTGCTTGAAGGCCCTATAAATTCTTATACTTAAAACAAAAAGCCAGTAATGAGTTGTGATCACCCCAAAAGGCACAGTTGGGCTAAAATAATGATGATATCAGGGGTAAACATATTTTTTTGAGAAGTTGGTCTGGATCTCTGAACACTGACAATTTGTCATTTTGTCTCAGTTGTCAAAGTAAAAAAAGCCCAGTTGTCATCCGTCTTCAATATTTTTAACCAGAAAGTCACCTGAGTACGGAGTCCCAATATAAAGTATTTGGGACCACCTCCCTAACAAAGCTGTTAGGGTAAATTCTGTGTGCACGCCCAACTCCCTCCTGTCTTCCACAGTCTCCTACAAAAAAAACAGATGGAGAATAATGTCTACATGCAATTGTTTTTACTGCAATTGTATTTTAAAATATTTTCAAGAAGAGAAATACTTTAATATGTCAATATGTCCAGAGAAAAAACCTGTAGTTAAATATCAGTTGTGCAATTTCTTCCTACTTGCCTAGGCTCTAATTAGTCAGCAATCAGGTTTAATAAAGGACATTTGAAATTTCTGTTATCATGAAACCTTTTATTCTAAGGGAGATTTTTAAATGAAATGACAAGAACTTAATGTAATACTTTTCTCTAGACCATGTTACCCTGTTAAAATTGCTGTATTGTTAATGAAACAGGTGTAATCAGCATCTGGAATTCATATGTAATCTGTTAAAAATCCAAGACTGAAAGGAAAGGATTGTGAAATTGGTCAGTGAATGCGGGTAGCAAAAACTCTTCACTGCCTTTCATTTGTAACTAAATCTCCTCTGAGAAGAGATCTGTAGGCTTTGAATGAAAGGAAGGAAAGGCAGGAGCCAAAGGAACAGGTTTTCGTCCATACAATTAGTCTGAATCTAGGTTCCTCTGAATAGAATGGGCACCGCCTGATCCTTTTGTGCTTCATAAATGTGGGTTTCCAACGTGCATGAGATGGCCCTCAAACCTTGTTACAACGATGCACTTTACTCGTTTGATGTGGGGGGAAAAAGAATGGGCACTACCTAAAACTGTTTACAGCTAGAATCTGGGTTTTATTTTTCATAGATGGAGAATGCCTAGTGGTTTCTAAAGGCCTCCACTGGGTGGAGAAAGGAGACTTGCCCACCTGTCTGGAGTGTTAAAAGGAGAAATCATTGTTAACTGATTCTGTTAATGGATTCCTGCCTTGTAACCTCCCGAAGGGCAGGGACCCCTCTCAGGGCCTTGTAAACTGGTGTCAGCACCGCTGCAGAGGCTGCTGCACATCAGGCTGATGGCAGCTAGGCCCTAGGAAGGAGCCAGGGGCCATGGTGGGGGCTCTGCTTTCCCACAGGGCTGGCACAGAGGAGGCCTAGACATATGTTGCTGAAAGAGTGTCCTAATACTAGAGTGGCATGCCTCGTGTCTACAAAACCCTTATATGTCACCTCTGCTGTCCTTGACCGATGGCAGGGGAACTCCCATTAGAATGATGATGAATCCCCTGCAGAGGGGAGGCTGGCAGGGACAAATTCCCTAAAAGAGGGACCAAGCGTCAGCTCCAATTGCATCTTAAAAGCAAAGGTGAAGTAATGCACAGATGGAAATTTAAAAAGAAAACAAGCAGTATGACTCAAGTGGTGTTTTTCACAGTCAGAACTTGAATATCAGTAGATTTCGTCATTTGTCTATTCCTTTTGTACCAGAGGCATATTGTTAAATTGGTTAATGGAAAGGAAAAATGTTGAACAGATAATGTTATTCTTTATGAGACGTACCATCTGTGTATTGAGCTCTGAATGTCCCTGGATATGGAAGAGAGGAAATGTGATGGAATTTCAAGTTTGCCTTCTTTGCTGTCTTTATCTTGGGTTGAGTATGACAAACATAATCACATTTATCTCCTGGAGCATAAAGAGTTTTAATCACCCTATTAACCAGGATGACATTTTTCACAGACTTAAAAAGGAATAGAACAGACATTATCTCCCTATAAGCAATCCATTTCATGGAGGCTGAGCACTAGAAATGCTTTAAAGGATGGATAACGCAGGCCATTTCCATTTCCTGTCTAAGCCAACATTAAGGAGGCTTTCGGTAAGGCTGTTGCTTCCACTGGGTGAGTGTTAAGCTTTACACTTAGAGTCTCAGCGCCCAAAAGAGCTATTAGAGAAAGCACGGGCAGGGAGGAGTGGCTTCCGAGACCCCAGGATTCATTCAAGGGAAAACATGTATCCTGGTAAGTTGCTGCTGCCCTGTGAAAAGGAGTCCATAGGCTGCTGTTATATTCAGAGTCAAGAAAGTGTGGGTTCAGGACAACCTGAGAGTGGAAAGTGGGGGACGGGAGCTGCCTCCGAAGACGCCCGGCAGCCCATCACCAGGAGGACCATGGCCCAAGGGCATGGAAGCATGTGGCTGCTGAGAGGGTCGTGGGCCATCTCCACCACCACCCTCGCGTCAGGGCATGGGCCCAGGCTGGCGTTAAGGGCACTTTGCCTGCTTAGTCAAAAGGTGGCATCGAATCACCTGGGCTGTCACATGTTTTGTTTAGTTTCATGGATAGTATGGGACCAAACTTGCAAATTAATCATTGCAATCTAAGGGGAAAATAGAAGAAATTAAGGTGGGGGTGGGGGGACGGGGAGCCCATGGGGATAAAAGTAATTAAAATCCATTGAATTTAGCTATTTCACTTGGGGCAACATTTAATCTCCAAGATTAAATCTTGGTTTATGGGGAAGGTTATATATTTTCATCTCATTTTTATGTATCATCTTTAAGACAAATTGTTAAGTACAAATGAAAATCAGGTAACATACAAAGGCATTTCATCAAATAGTTAAATTTCCTATGAAAGTTAGTAAAATACATATTTTTATAATACCATGTTCAAGTGAAGTGTTTTTGCTTTCTGCCAAGAGTCATTAAATGATATAGCAAGTATTTGGGTCTCTCTTGGTGTTATCAGGATTAATTGCCCAAGGCTGCGATTTTGTGAGCATAGAAGAGGAAAGCAAGCATCTCTCACAAGCAGTGACATGAATCTGTAATAATGAGTGAGGCTGTTAGCAAATTTTGTGTGATGGCAGATAACTCAGTTTTGGAGAAAATTAGAATCACAGCTACCAAGAAGCACATATCGTTTCAACTTTCCCACCCAAGTATTAGTGAAGTGATTTAGGACCTTGATTTATATTTCTTAGAGAAGCTGGCTCGAGGCCTTTGTTTCATTACTGTTTGATGAGGCATGATCCCTTACTTTAAAAAAAAAAAAAGGTGAATGTATTAAATGTACTTAAAGACATAAGGATAAAGCTCATTCTTAATGGACTCTCCTAAGAAGCTAAGTCAGGCAAACTGAGAAAGCTTGGCATGTTCATAACACCTATTACCTGCTCATCTGAAAACACTCAAAAACCGTACCCTCATGCTGCCTCTGACACCCCAGGCTCAGAGTGGCCTTCCAGGTTTGCAGCCTAATAGGTGACCCTCCACAGGACACCTCCAGGCGATGTCCACATTGCCGGCCCTGGGCGAGTCTCCGGCGCTCCCGCGTGCATGCCCTGCCTTCAGAGGACAAGTTGGCAAAACTGAGTTTCTAAAAGAAAGCTTGATTTTGGTGGTCTGTACAGAGCTGTGCCAAACTGCAGTTTGCTCCTTTGCTCTGCCAAGCTGGGTGGTGGGAATGTGTTTATTTTATTGCTGCTGGCTGTCTTCTCCGACTGACCCTGTTGTAGGGGCTGAATCCCCCACCATGTTTCCTACTCTGGAGCAGAGGCTACGTGGCAGACCTCTCCATCCAGAGCCTTTGGGGAGTGTTACCAGGGGGTAGACCGTCCCTGCAGCCACTGTCTCCCTGTGTCCTTCCATCTCCCATCAGGCCATGGCGGCCACAGCTACTCAGATCCTTCTTGCAGTCAGGACAGAGGTTCTGCAGCTAAGACAACTCTAGTGAGTAAATCTCATAAAAACTAAAATAAGACCCCTTGTCAGAAGATAAGGATTGAGAAAACCTCTGCACTCAGCTTGCTCGTGAGCCACCTCTGGTTCTGTTTTCAAAGACTCATGACAAATGGGTGTAAAGTATCTGTGGAATCAGCACATGACCAAGTGTCTCAACTCCCTATTTCACAGGGATGCTTGGATGCAGCATGTGATGCAGTGAGTGACAGGGAGGCTTGGCTCCGCAGTGGAGAATGCCTGCAGGAGGGCCGGGTTCAAGTTTATCGGGAGTGGGAGGGAAAACCGCACTTCCACCTGCCAGGGTGGGGCTCTGCAGCATACCAGCCCGCATCCCAGGTTCTCCTGTCTTTCCAAGTGTCTCCCACATACAGAGATCTTCCCTGGGAACTGTGAAAATGTAAGGGCTCGGAGTTGGGGTGGAATCCATATTCTTCAATGAGCATGGTTAGCTTTCACTTCTCAATATTCTAAATGTTACTGAAGGAGCCGGGGTGAAGGGCTGGGTTGGAAAACGCAGACTCAGGTGAGACCCTAGAGAAACATCCACAGCCCTGACGGGAAGAGGGCGTTCACCTTGGACTGTTTCTTCGGGTTCAGGACTAAGCCCATCATAGCCCTTAGCGGACTCAAGAAAGAAGATAGGAAGGAAGGGAGGGAGGAGAGGGAGGACAGAAGGGAGGGAAGGGAGGAGGAGGGGAAGGAAGGGAAAGGGGAGGGAGGAGCTCCTCCCTGGGAAGAGGACCCAAGCGTCCACTTGGCTGTGTGTGAGACCAGGTCCTGGGAGACTGGCATTTGCCTTCTCTGTGCTGGCCACATTTGCCTTTCCCACCAAAACTCAAGGAAAATTACATCAAAATGAAAATGAGGAAAAAGTCATTTCAGCGGGGGTTGGGGTTGGGGGTGTCCTGGGCTTTTACAGCCAGAGGCTGCAAGGTTAGGCGTTTCTAACTGCCAGCCCTGTGAACGGATAGTTCAAAAATGAAAAGCCACCTGGTAAGATCCCACTGCACTCACCAGCTCTGACCTACTGAGCAGGAAGAAAGAAATACACAGACCTGCAGGATGATCCCTACAGACAGATGATACTCAGTGGCCCTGCATCCGACCGAGGAGGAGGTGGTGGTCTTGCTGCACGGGACGGGCCAGTGCCCTGCTCAGGCACTGGAGGCATGAATGGAGGGCATTGTCCCTAAAAGCAAAGGACCTCAAAAAAAAATCCCTGCACTTCTCCCTTCATTTTAGAAACCTCGCTGTCTTCCTACTTGTAGTATCAGCAACACCACCTAGAAGTCAGGCTTTGTCCTCATCTCCGGGGGTGGAGAGTTTTATTTTGTAGCCAGAGAACCTAAGTTGAAGTTTTACAGAGAGTGCCTAGGATCAGGCAGGGCACACAGAAATATCTTGGGCCAGGGTCGCCTGGTCACATTCATCAAAGAAACTAGACAGAAAGCAACCCACCGTCCGCTTCCCAGTGAACCTAATATACCCTAGAAAGTCCAGTAATTCTACCTAATCTACCCAATTTGTGCCTTTGATACGAGCTTCAGCATTCTATCTTTTTCACAAGACGCTAAGTCATTTTGAGTGGAGTGCCATCACACGTTAATTACCTAGCCTGACAAACCCCAGGGCAGCTGCTTTTCCTGGGCTGTGTCTGCCAGGAGGCAGCGGGAGTTATTAGAAAAGTTCGGGCTGCCAGGTTAATATCATCCCTTCCATTATCAATATGTAATGTCCTACTCCGTGCCTGGGCTTTAAGTACCAAAATTAAAAACCACTCTCTCAAATACATGACAGGCTGAGAATCTTATGACTATTCTCTGTGGCTCCAAACTTCTAAATCAGTGCTCATAGTAACTGCCCTGTGGCCAAAGAGCTATGCCATCTCAAGGCTTAAGGCTGGGAACTCAGTGCCATGCTGTTCAGTGGTGATATCCAGCATTGGCTAGTGACAAGCAGGCCAAAGGGAGGCAGAAGCCTTCTCGAAGACTGTGGCATCCCCAATAAGGACAAGGAGCTAAGTTGCAGTACTCAGGAAGTATACAACTCTGCTGCCTCAGAGTTTTTAATTTTTTTATTTATTTATTTATTTTGAGACAGAGTCTTGCTCTGTCACCCAGGCTGGAGTTCAGTGGCGCCATCTCGGCTCACTGCAACCTCCGTCTCCCGGGTTCAAGCAATTCTCCTGTCACAGCCTCCGGAGTAGCTGGGACTACAGGCGCACGCCACCATGCCCGGCAAATTTTTGTATTTTTAGTAGAGATGGGGTTTCACCATATTGGTCAGCCTGGTCTCTATCTCCTGACCTCAGGTGATCCACCCGCCTCTGCCTCCCAAAGTGTTGGGATTACAGGCGTGGCTTCCCAGGAAACCTTTCTAAAGCCATTTGGTAGCTTCCTGTGCATGCCGCTAAATCCAAGTTTCCTCCAATCAGGGAGCAGCATTGCTGGGGCGCTGGCTTCCCCGAGCTGCAGCTCCCTCATCTCATTTCTCTTTATTTGACCCTTGGTTGCCAGAAAAAGTTATCACACCTCCTTCTGGGCCTCAGCCTTCGGACTCACCTAGACTTTATCTTCTTCCTGACAGTTCCTTCTCCTGCTGCACAGAACACCTGGAAAAGCAAGACGTGAATTTGATTCCATTCATCAGAAAAGGAGCATTCGTGGCCCACTTGCTACAAACTGTGGCATCTCCCCAGCCTCTTAGCGGGAAGAAGGGCAGGGCAGGGGCTCACAGCCCTTGGGTTTTTGATGACTTCTCATATTTCTCTGGGTGTCCTGCACCCCCACTTCCAGAACTTTCTTCAAATATCCTTCAGGGGTCCCCGGGGTGGGTCCTATCCCAGAACCAGCCCCAGCTGTCCCGAGAGGAGAGGATAAGGCAGATGAACAGCCTCCTGGCAGGTTCAGTTAGCCTCAGCCTGTTTCCTTCCTTTTTCAGAACAAGGACATGTTGACCAGTGACACGGCAATGTGTGCGCAATTAAATGTTTTTACCTGTTCTGCTGTGCCGACAATCTGCCTTTTTTCCCTTCAGATAAGTTGTTGATTTTTTCCCAGCAGGCAGCCTGCTCTCCGGAGCCCCATGCTCTGGGCCCCGGTGAAGGCCTGTGAGTTCTGCCCAATGCCCTTTGCTCAGCTAGGAGCGTCCTTCCTGGACCTGGAGCAGTCACTTCCCAAACCTCGTCCATTTCCCACTAGTTATTAACAGTCTATTCAGCACTGCTCTATGTCAGAAACATTGTCTCTGCAGCTAACACTGCTTCATGACAAACCTGCCATTGTAAACATTTGAAACACTCTTTACAATTCGAGCACCTGTGTAACGGGCAGTGCGCCCTGAAAGCAGTCCCCAGGGCCACTGGTGGGTGAAGGCGAGATCTGTGTCCCTTCACTCCAGCTCCTCTGCCACCTGGCCCCAGCGCTCAGGCCTCCTCCAGCCTCCCAACCACGATGGTTAATTCTAGGTGTCTGCTTGACTGGATGAAGCAGTACCCAGGAACCTGATGAGGCATTATTTTGGGGTGTGTCTGTGAGAGTGTCTCCAGAGGACACTGGCACGTGAGTCTGAGTGGAGTAAGTGGGGAAGATCTGCTCTTAATGTGAGTGATACCATCCAATCAACTGGGGGCCCAGAGAGAGCAAAAACAGAGGAAAGGCGAGTTGGTGTCTCTCCCTCTTGGAGCTGGGGTGCTCTTCTTCTCTTGTCCTTGGACATCAGAACTCCAGGCGCTCCAGCCTTTGGACTTCAGGACTTACACCCGTGGCCCCTGGGTTCTCAGGCCTTCGGACTTGGACTGAGCCTCACCACCAGCATCCCAGGGTCTGCAGCTTGGAGACAGCCAGTGGTGGGACTTCTCAGCCTCCACAAATGTGTGAGCCAATTCTCCCAACAAATCCCTTCTCATCTAGCTATCTAGATAGGTGTAGACAGACAGATACTATTGGTTCTGTCTCTCTCAAGAACCCTAATACACAGCCTTAATCTCCCGCCGGGGCCCCTCCACCCATGGGCACACCACAGACAACCAGGATGGCTTGGGACAAATGACTCCATGAGGGCCTTTTGTCTTCATCTCTGAAACAGGTGCATGCACTCCCGTGGCACCACATTGTAGGGAGGGTTAAATGAGGGTTCACGCAGCACCCTGCTCCTGAAAGCCCCCAAGCTGGATTGCTGGCCCACTGGATTTGATGTTAGTCAGTTAGCAGAATAACACCCCAAATGCACCTCCCACAGCACACTATTTACACCATCAGGGCAGGTGCACCTCCCACAGCACACCATTCCCACCATCAGGGCGGGTGCACCTCCCACAGCACACCATTCCCACCATCAGGGCGGGTGCACCTCCCACAGCACACCATTTACACCATCAGGGCGGGTGCACCTCCCACAGCACACCATTTACACCATCAGGGCGGGTGCACCTCCCACAGCACACCATTTACACCATCAGGGCGGGTGCACCTCCCACAGCACACCATTTACACCATCAGGGCGGGTGCACCTCCCACAGCACACCATTTACACCATCAGGGCGGGTGCACCTCCCACAGCACACCATTTACACCATCAGGGCGGGTGCACCTCCCACAGCACACTATTTACACCATCAGGGCAGGTTCCTCAAATGCTTGGGCCTCCAGACCTTGCCCACCCTTCGCCTGACACCCAGCTTTAGCCTGAATCAGAATCAGCTGGGGAGATGGTTAAAACACAGGTTCCTGGCCCCACCCCCAGAGCTTCTGATTTCTTTGGTCTGGGGTGGGGCTGGAGAATCTGTGTTTCTCTCAAGTTTCCCGAGGCTGCCGTTGCCGGAGAACCACTGCCCTGTGGTGTGGTTCTGATGATGGCACTTTCAACATAATGTGTCACAGGAGTGCGTCTTTGCTAATCACTCACTTGCTAGCACAGACAACCTTGTGAGGCCTCTGTAGATAGTGGCAGTAACACTGGTCCCAATTCTCACAAATCCAAAGTGACTGCATTCACTGGACTGAGAAATGCATCAGTGGGTGTCACCCTCCATGGCTGCCTCCCTCTCCTGCCACCTCTGGACTCCCTCTCCCGCCACCTCTGGACTCCCTCTCCCGCCACCTCTGGACTCCCTCTCCCGCCACCTCTGGACTCCCTCTCCCGCCACCTCTGGACTCCCTCTCCCGCCACCTCTGGACTCCCTCTCCCGCCACCTCTGGACTCCCTCTCCCGCCACCTCTGGACTCCCTCTCCCGCCACCTCTGGACTCCCTCTCCCGCCACCTCTGGACTCCCTCTCCCGCCACCTCTGGACTCCCTCTCCCGCCACCTCTGGACTCCCTCTCCCGCCACCTCTGGACTCCCTCTCCCGCCACCTCTGGACTCCCTCTCCCGCCACCTCTGGACTCCCTCTCCCGCCACCTCTGGACTCCCTCTCCCGCCACCTCTGGACTCCCTCTCCTGCCACCTCTGGACTCCCTCTCCCGCAGCTGCAGGAGGCCGTACTGTCACCCAGGCAGCCCTACCCTTGTGAGCACCCGAGGAGTGGGCAGAAGCACAGGCACATGACAACACGAGACCCTGGACCCCTTCAGGAGCCATGCGGAAAGACATGGGGAGCACTTAGGAAGGCCCCCCAAGGTGCGGTCCACAGGTTGTTTATGATATAATTGGAGAGGCAGACAAGGTCACGCTGAGTTAACTGACCAAGACCTTGGTGTGGCTGATGACCCCAGAAAGGGAGAGGACAGTGCAGATGAGAGTCAGAGAGAATGACCTGGAAGAGGCCAAAGAGGAAGGGGCTTTGGGAGATGAGGCAGAGAGGAGCAGGAGAAGCTCAGAGGAGCAGAAGAAGCTGGCGCCAAGAGGAAGACTTGTTGGTGGCACAGTGAGCCCGAGACCACGGTGCAGTGGGTGGTGGGATAGGCAAGACGGAGAGAAGGAGATGAGTCAGAAAGGCACGTTAAAGGCTGGGTGTTGTGGCTCATACCTGTAATCCCAGAACTTTGGGAGGCCAAGGCGGGCGAATCACCTGAGGTCAGGAGTTTGAGACCAGCCTGGCCAACATGAAGAAACCTCATCTCTACTAAAAATACAAAAACATTAGCTGGGCGGGGTGGCGTGTGCCTGCCAGTCCCAGCTACTCAGGAGACTGAGGCAAGAGAATCGCTTGAACCTGGGAGGTAGAGGTTGCGGTGAGCTGAGATCACACCACTCCAGCCTGGGCCACAGAACAAGACTCCATCTCAAAAAAAAAAAAAAAAAAAAAAGGTAGCTTAAGGCCCATGGTTAAGGCCCACTCATAAAAGCATAAAAGGCCTTTACTGGCCGACTAAGAGGTTTGCACTTTGCCTATAGCAACAATAATATAAAGTTAATAAAGTTTTCTGAGCTTGTGACATATAAAACTGGTATTTTCTTTCAGTCATTCGTTCATTCATCTAAGCACAATTATCAAGTGCCTGGCCAGCACTAGGTGGGGACACGGCAACAATTAGACGGTCCCTCCTTTAAGAACTCCCGGTAATCTGAGGGGGCAGAGGAAGGCCACTGCGACTGGAGAATGGACAGGAAGAGTAGAGGCCCTGGCAATCCCTAGGAAGTGCCACCTTGGACGGCCAGCAGGAGGCGGCTGGGCCTGAGCCAGGAGGACCAGAGCTGTTGACTGCGGGTCCCCAGCGGCTGGGGACAGGAAGGGTGTGTACTGTGGACTGCACAGCCCATAGAACCCATCAGCTCTAATTTTGCTCTTCTCTTTTTTCTTTTTCTTTTTCATTTTTTTTTTTTTTTTGAGATGGAGTCTTGCTCTGTTGCTCAGGCTGGAGGGTAGTGGTGCAATCTCAGCACACTGCAACCTCCACCTCCCAGGTTCAAGCAATTCTCCTGCCTCAGCCTCCGGAGTAGCTGAGATTACAGGTCCACCACCACACCTGGCTAATTTTTTTTTCTTTTTTTTTTTGCATTTTTAGTAGAGACAAGGTTTCACCATGTTGGTCAGGCTGGTCTCAAACTCCTGACCTCAAATGATCTTCCCGCCTCGGCCTCCCAAAGTTTGGGAATTACAGGTGTGAGCCACTACACCCGGCCACTTTTCTCTTTTTAAAAGAAAAGAAATGAGAGTGAATGGCAGAGCTGTACCTGAGCAGAGCCCTGCACTGTCTGTCCAGGGGCAGATGTTGGTTTGGATGTCGGGGTGGCTGTGGGTGCAGTACCCACACTGGGCCTGTTCCTGGTCGAGTGCAGGAGGGTGAGAGCTGGGCCACACGCGCGGAGAAGCTGGGAGGCAGCTCGGGTTCCAGGGAAGGGGCACCAGGTCTCACAGCACCTCCAGGCCTCCACAGTGACCTCTGGCCGCTGAGCACAGGGAGGTGCCAGCCAAGGGTCTGATCCTTTACTTGGGGGTCCTGCGGGAGGGAGAATTAGATAAGACCCACTTAGAGAGGAACAGTCACTGATCCTAATATTGATAATAACAACAGCACCTATGTAGCATTTACTATATATCAGGCACTGCTCTAAGGACCTTACATATATTAACTCATTTAATCCTCACACTCTCCGTGAGGTGGACACTATTATATCCTCATCGTACAGAGGAGGAAACTGAGGCCTCCATTTGCACTATTTATTCATAGTGTATCTGGGGTCACATGGCTGGAATGAAAATCAGGTGAATTTTTTGTCCAAGATCACGCATCTAATAAATGTCACAGCTCGGATTCAAACTCACATCTGGCCTATAAAGCCCCCACACCCCGTTGGCCCAGGCAGCAGACTACAAGGGAAAGACGACTGTAGCCTGAAATTGAGCATTTGCTGGGCCCGGGGCAAGACTGAATGCAGGCCCAGGTCCCGGCCACCTTCGTAAAAGTTACGCGCAACAGTCACCCACCAAGCTCGTAACCTGGGGAGTAAAATGCGCTCGGTCTCCTTCCCTGACAGACAGCTTCATGGCAGCCTGGACCGCCAGGTTCACATTTGGAATTCTCAGACTCCTCAGAGGCCCACCAGGACACAATGCGGGGAGAGCGGCCGTCCCGGGCTCCGCCCTTTCTCCTCCCTCAGCCGCGGCTCCACCCAGCACCGCAAGGCTGCGCTGGTTTTGCTGTTGTTGTTGTTTTAGTCTCTGCCTTCATTGATTCTTTTTTTTCTCTTTCAAATATTTTTTATTGAAATAACAATAAAATAAAAAAAGAACAGTGATCACTTTAACCAAACTTTTACTTTACAAATATAAAAATATAACCAAAACTTGTTTCTTTTATACATTTTCCATAAACGTAATACCAGAAAAGTTCTCAAAGCCAAACTATAAATGATGCTTGTATACTATGATGTGAACACAATAACCAAAAGTTTAAATTTCTAAATACATGACCTTTCCCTCAACAGAACAGCATAACCGATATATCTTCCCAACTTATCTCTATTTTTACGATATGATCTTTTTCATTCTTTCATTTGGACAACAAACATTTATTAAGGATCTATAGGCATCGGGCATTGTGGTAAATCCCAGAGAATCAAAGATACATCAGATATAGTCCTTGCCCTCCACAGGACCAAACTCTAAGACGAGAGAAGATACCAGAGAAAAAAAAAAGAAAAAGAAAAAGAAAACAGAAAAAAAACTATAATAGAGTAGAAAGTCCTGAGAATTTTAGGGGAGGGTTGGATAAAGGGACAAGAGAGCAGAGAAGAAAGAGAAATTGCTTCTCCCTTCCTTCCTTCCTTCCTTCCGTCCTTCCTTCCTTCCTTTCCTTGCCCTCCCTCCTTCTTTTCTTTTTTCTCTTTTCTTGTTTCCTTCCTTCCTTCCTTCCCCCACTCTCTCTCTCTCTGTGGCTTTCTTTTTTCTTTCTTTTTTCTTTCTTTCTTTCTTTCTTTCTTTCTTTCTTCCTTCCTTTCTTTTCTTTCTTTCTTTCTTTTCTTTCTTATTTCTTTCTCCTTCCTTCATTCCTTCCTCTCTTTCTTTGTTTCTCTCTTTTCTTTCTTTCTCCTTCCTCTCTTCCTTCCTCCCTTCCTCCCTTCCCTCCTTTCTTTCTTTCTTTCTTTCTCTTTCTTTCTTTCTTTCTTTCTTTCTTTCTTTCTTTCTTCCTTTCTTTCTTTTTCTTTTTTTTTCTCACTCTGTTATGCAGGCTGGAGTGCAGTGGTGTGATCACACCTCATGGAAGCCTCCAGTTCCTGGCCTCAAGCGATCCTTCCGCCTTGGCCTTCCAAAGCACTAGGATTACAGACATGAGCCATTGCACCCAGCCCAATCTGGTCCTTAAATGTCAAGCTCTAAACCCACAGGACCTGAACAAATGCAGGTAAGAAGCCCTTTTAGAAGGGAAAAATGGGCCATTGGGGTGGCTCACACCTGCAATCCCAGCACTTTGGGAGGCTGAAGTGGGCAGATCACCTGAGGTTAGGAGTTCAAGACCAGCCTGGCCAACATGGTGAAACCTCATCTTTACAAAAAATACAAAAATCAGCCAGCCTTGGTGGCAGGCACCTGTAATCCCAGCTACTCGGGAGGCTGAGGCAGGAGAATCGCTTGAACCTGGGAGGCGGAGGTTACAATGAACCGAAATTGTGCCACTGCATTCCAGTCTGGGCAACAAGAGCAAGAATCTGTCTCAAAAAAAAAAAAAAGGAAGGAGGGAAAAGCGCTAATCTGTTGCAGCCTATCTAGCCTAGAGGAAGACTGTGTGTTTTCAGGGTGGTGTTGCTTTTTCACAATCTCTCAAATAGCATTATAAATATAAATGGCCGAATTGCACGGTGAATCAGAAATAACAATGATTATAGTAACAAGCGTGTGGACAACCCAGCCTGCAGTCCAAATTCCCCTGCACCCCACTGGCTGCCCCTGGCCCTCCTGAGGCCCAGAGGCATGAACATGTGCAGGGCTAGCCACTGGAGAGGATGGACCCAGGGCAAAGGCCAAGCCTCAGGGGTCTCGGGGCTGACTGAGTAGGAAATGAGAGGCCCTGGCCTTGTGGATAATTCACCTCAGGGTGAGGCAGCTGTAGGAGTAGGCACTCTGCAGCGAGGGCTGGGCTGGGCCCCTTGCCTGGGGCCTGGCGCGGCGGGTGTCCCACTCCAAAGCCTAGGCTTGCCACACGCAGGAGGGCTGGACCCTCTCCATCACCTGACTCAAAGGCCCTTATAGGGGTCACCCAATGAACACGGTACTGGAGACCCGCTGATACCCCTTGAAGACTAATACACGGATTATGATTTTCTTTTCTTTATTCAGATACTGAAGTGCCTGCCAGCCTCCACATTTCCATCTTTGCTTTGGCCATCAGAAAGCTTGGAACTAAATTTAATCTCGCGTCATAATAATCTTACCACCTTTTTGACTCCCTCCTTCTTTGGCATGAGTTTTCAATTTTCTGTTCCCATTTTAGCAATCTTATTGTGCGTGTATCTTTTATTGGAAGCTGCCTCCAATCCTTTTTAGAAGCTGACAGGGTATAAATTGTAAATAAAAATAAATACTGCTGAAATCTTCCCATGGTAGCTTTCTTATTTCTGGAGGTATCTGAAATCCTGACTTGGCTTTTGTGAAAAATTCAACACAAAACATCCCGTGCACCAACTCAGCTTTAAGTTTCTGCTTCTGTAAAAGATCCTGGGTTGCTATAACCCTGAGCTCTGAAATGAAAACTTTTCAATGGCAAATGGTAAATGTTTAGTTTCTAAAGTGTAGTTTGTAAAATGTTTACCTCAAGTGGTGGCTGTTTGTGACACCCCACTTTCATCTTAAGCATTGTTTAATATTTGGGCATTATGCTTAGCTAGCTGGGACTAGCTTGACTGGGAGGCTGGGAAATGTGGAGTCACTTCTGGCTGGAGGAAAACAGTTGGAGTATTTATGCGCTCGAATGGAGATTCCATGTCATTCCTTATTGTCTGCCATGAGTGGGACCAGAGGAGAGAAGGGCTTCCCTGCTGGTTGGAGTGCAGAAGAGGGAAATGGAGGCTCTTCTGTTGTGGGTTTAACTCTAAAGAGAGTTCCGGTTCTGGCTGAACGGAGATCCCTGAGCTTCCCAGGTTAGAACAAAGGAAGTTTCTTATCTCGGAGGGGGGGAAAAGACACCATGAGAGAGAGCCCAGTGCATGCCTTTATTTCAGTCCTTTATTTTTTGAAATCTTACTCTGTGAGATTAGTTTGTCATTTAAGGCTATTGGTATGTAGCAATTGTAATAGAGAACTCTACATTGTTCAAAAGAAGCAGTACACACACACACACACACACACACTCCCCTCTCCGTGCAGCCCCTGCACCCCCTCTTTCTCAACTCTCCCACAGCCAGCCTGGCCCTGCTCCTGGCCTGCGAGACCCCTGGGTCTCTTCCCCACCCCCATCCTTTCTGGACACTTTCCGCCTTATTCTTCCGGCAGCTATCTTGCTTATTTACCAGGGTCGTGTCTCCTTAGAAGGTCACATCCCCTGGTCCTGCCAGAGCGTGGCGCCTGTGGCCAAGGGGCACCCTCCCCAAGCTCACCTCCTCAAGACAGGCCCAGACTCTCCACATCTTCTGAGCCACATGAGCAAAGCACCTGCCATTTATAGAGGCACCGAGTCCTAACTGCAGGTCATATTTTCAGAGAACAGCCCTATTGATGAGTCTAGGAAACTAAACTCAAAAAGTGACGGCAAAAGTCATAGTTCCAGAAAGGTTGGCATGTGGCATTATTCCACTGCAGACAGTGACATCCAACCCACTTAGGTAGACAGATGCACCTTTTCGTGTGCGGCCATCATGGGGCACTGGAATTTTAAACCTTTATAATCTACTTTCCCCATTTTCCCTCAGTGAACATGGCTTGCTCTTCTAACTAAAGAAAGTGAAGGAGGGATATTTGTGGCATGTTTGTTTTTTGAGAATAAAATAATCGTTGCCTACAATACATGGGTTGATCTAAAACCCCAAGCAGTCCCCAGGCCCCCTCCCTCCCTGGGGAGTGGAAGTGCTTGGAATCCTCCTTGCTGGGACTCAGGGCTGGGCTCTTGCCTTCTAGGGCCACTCCGGTGAGGTGAGATCATGACAACTTTCAAGGTTCTCTCTGCCTTGGGAGTGAAGCCCTGTGGACTTTGCACGCCCACCTGGAACAGGCCTGCTGTATGTGGAACTGTGTCCCCACAAAAGGTATGTTAAAGTCCAAACCCCTGGTGTTGAAGATTTCAGTGTTGAAGCCTTCTTTGAAAATCAGGCCTTTCCATTTTCAGCAAGTTAAAATGAAGCTATGTATGTATACACACACACTTTATTTATTTTATTTTTATTTATTTATTTTGAGAGGGGGACGCTGTCTCACTCTATCACCCAGGCTGGAGTACAGTGGCGCGATCTCAGCTCACTGCAATCTCCGCCTCCTAGGTTCAAGCGATTCTCCTGTCTCAGCCTCCTGAGTGACTGGGATTACAGGCACCCGCCACCAGCCTAATTTTTCGTACTTTTAGTAGAGATGGGGTTTCATCATGTTGGCTAGGCTAGTCACAAACTCCTGACCTCAGGTGATCCGCCTGCCTTGGACTCCCAAAGTGCCGGGATTACAGGAGGTTTTTTTTGTTTTGTTTTGTTTTAAACGGAGTCTCACTTGGTCGCTCAGGCAGGAGTGCAGTGGCGCGATCTCGGCTCACTGAAACCTCCGCCTCCCAGGTTCAAGCGATTCTCCTGTCTCAGCCTCCTGAGTAGCTGGGATTACAAGCGCCCGCCACCACCCCTGGCTAATTTTTGCATTTTGGGTAGAGATGGGGTTTCACCATGTTGGCCAGGCTGGTCTCGAACTCCTGACCTCAGGTGATTCGCCCTTCTTGGCCTCCCAAAGTGTTGGGATTGCAGGCGTGAGCCACAGCGCCCGTCCAAAATGAAGCTAAATTTGATGAGAGTGGGCTCTACTCCAAGACCACTGTTGTCCTTGTAAAAGGAGAAAAGACAGACACAGGGACACAGGGCCATGTGGCCACAGAGGCAGAGACTGGAGTGACGGGAGACAAGCCCCGAACACTGAGGACCCTGTACCCCAGAGGCCAAGAGAAAGGCATGGAACAGATTCTCTCCCCCAGCCTTCGGGGACCTTGACTCTGGACTTCCGGCCTCCAGAACCGCGTCTGTTGCTTGAAGCCTCCGGGTCTTCGCGGTGCAGAGAAGCGCCAGGCCTCCAGGGCCTCGCCTCCCGCCGCCCGCGCCCGGCCCCGGGTCCTCCCTCGGAAGCCGCCTGTCTGTCTGCCGCCGAGTCCCACCGGGCTTCGGCCGGCACTGCCCGTTTACCCTCCGTCCCTCCCATCCCTCCCGGCTCCTAGAGGAGCTGGGTCCGCGTCTAGCTCCTCGGCCCTCCCCGCGCGCTCGGCACCGCGCACGGCCCACGCTGGACAGATGTCCCCGGCCCTCTCCCCGGACGCCCCCAAGGCCCCTGCCTTCCAGGCCGAGCCTCCGCTGCCGCCGCTTCCCCGCGCTCTGCAGTCCCCGCGGCGCTCCCGGGGCCGCCGCTCGGCCGTGGTGCTCGCTTCGCCCAGCAGAGGGCGGCCGAGGCGCGGGCCTAGGCGGGGCTGTCGCCGCCTGTACGGGGCGGGCGGAGCGGGGCGCGGGCGACCTGACAGCGAGGCCCGGCGGCGCGTCCCCACAGCGGCCTCCCGCCCCGTCCGGGACCGGGGCTGCGGGGATGACCCCTAGCTGGAGGCCTTGGCTGCCTTTTGCTCTTTTGTTTTCTGTCTGGTCCCCTGGAACCGGGGCCACTGGAGGCTCCCGGAAACGCGCAGGCGACATCTCCCCGACCGTCCTCATCAGAAGCCCACGGAGCCCGTCCCGCCCACGCGTCCTGAAGGCGTGGCTGCGGGTGCCGTGGTCCCCAGGTCCCGCGTCTGGCCGCGCCCACCTGGCATCTCCCTGGACGCCCCCAGGCGCAGAGACTGAGCCTCCTCCCGGCTGCAGCGTCGGTCCCCGGGCGTGGCCGCCGTTCCCTGTCCCCCGCGCGTGCTCCCAGGAGAGTTCAGTCCTCAGCGCCCGCAGCTGCACCCTCTCGGAGCCCCTCATTTACCCACCTGTATCCCACTCCCGACCCCGGAACTCTCAGCACCCAGGGGCCGCCCTCTGCATGGTGGCTGCCAAAACCCAAAAACCAGAAGTGGGCTTTTCCTAGTGCCTTTTTGAGATCTAAGTGGTGTTTCTGGCGGTTTGGGTTTTAAGGTGCCATTTTCTGTCTACTTTCTTTACTTTCTCGAATGACTTTTTCTTGTTATAAGTAACTACATGTTCAAGGTCAAAAAATGAGAAAACATAAGCAAAAAAGGCACCTGAAATCCCAGCTTCCATCAATAACTATAGGAATATTTTGGTGTCTGCTGCCACATTTTCCCCTCTGCGTGTGGGTGTGTGTACGGTGATATGTTATTTTTCCAAAATAGGGATCCCTCCCATCCACCTCGGCAATCTGCTTTTCCACAGAGCAAGGCAGTGAGAACGTCTCTCTGTGAACCACAGTGAAGACGCACCCAGCAGGGTATAGGAGCTGGGCCCGCTGGGAGGGCGAGTGTGGGCGGGGCATAGCCGGCAAACCCAGCCCACCCGAGGCCTGGCCAGGGGAGGGCCCTCCCTGTGAGCCTCCTGGGGGCCCATGGGCCCTGTTACCTACGTCGCCTTGGTTGGTGAGGTCTCATCCCTGGCTGCAGCTGCCGGGCTTCAGGGTGTCCTTTTAAAGAGCACCTCGAAGAAGAAAATCCCATCCTTTCCTCTAGTCCCGGAAGAGTCCATCTGCAGTTGAAACAACTCTGCCCTTTGTAGAGTGGCTCTTTCTTGTGTGGATTTAAATACAAGGAATACAAAACAAATTCATATTGACCCCAAGGAGCCCCATTCCTCCCTCCGCCTCCGGACAACTAGGGTGCCTCCAGATCAGCAGTTCTCAATGAGAGGCTGGGGGGAGGGGGTTGGTGGGTGGAGTTTTGCCTCTCTTCCCCCAGGGGACGTCTCTGGTATTGCCTAGAGACACTAAGAGGGTGCTACTGGCACCTCGTGGGTAGAGGCCAGGATGCTGCTAAGCATTCTGCCATGCACAGCACAGGTCCCCACGAAAAAAGAATTCACTGCTGAAAATGTCGGTAGTGCCCAGATTGAGAAATCCTGTCCAGATGTTTCTCGACACTCTTCCAGGGGTCCAGGAGCCCAGGAGTCCCGAAGCCTAGGTCTGCCTACAGCACCGTCCAAGGGGTAATGGCCCTGGCTGATCACTCCCAGGCCACGTCCATTAGCCCAGGACCTGAAACGACTGGCGACCAAGAAGGGCCAAGAGGTTGCAACTGCAGTCTGTGGAAATGAGAGGCCCTGGGCAACGGGGCGTCAGGGGAGGAGATGAATTCAGTAGCTGAGGCTCTGTTTCGTTTTGTTTCACTGTGCATGGATTCAGGTTGTTTCCTAAGGCTCTATGTGCCTCGTTTATGAGTCTTTCCTTTCAAAACAATTCAAGATGTCCCAGCATTTCAACCCTCTGACTGCAGAACTCCACATTGCTAGAGCTCAAAGGAACCTTTGACATTTTCCACTCCAACTGTCTCGTTTTCAGGGAGCCAGACCAAGGTTTATGCACAGCTTCAGTGCCTCAGTTTCTTCCTCAGTAAAATCACAAATAATGACATCTCTCTTTGGCCAGCCCCCCCCCCCCACCAACTCCATGCCTCGGGCACTCTCACACACATTATCTCTGATACATCTACCCTGGGAAGGAAGTTGCCCCTCCTATTTCCCAGGTGACAGCGCTGGGCACTCAGACTGCGGGGAACTGACCTATGACCACACAGCGAGCAGGTGGAGGAGGGGAACACCAGCCCTGGGTTTCTCTCGCCCTAACAGCGGACCAGGCCACGGGTTCTCAAGCATGGCTGCCCATCAGAGTCATCTGGGGAGTTTTAAAAATCCTGGTGCCTGTCACACCCCCTATCACTGTCATGGATATGTGATGGAGGCCAGGGAAGACTCAGCTTCAAGAAATGGTGAGATCTTTGAATATCTTCTTGGTACCAGCCCATATTTTTTGAATTGAGAACCATTAGGATTAGCTACAAATGAGTTTTCTTTCCATCTGAATATTGAGAACTGTGTTTTCTGGCTGCTCTTTCCTCCCTGGATGTTTGCAAAGTTGAAAAATCAGCTAAAAATATATGCAGGGGCCACACAAGGCAGGAAGAGTGAGCCCAAACATCCCGGCTCTGTGCGGGTGGCCAGGGCCAGCTGCTTCCCCAGGCTAGAGGGCGTAAGGCACCACATCTCCCAGGGATATTTGCATTTTCAGCAGAAACTCTGGAACATGGAAAGGTCTTCAGATGAACAGCATATCAGAAGGCAGCATTTCAGGCACCAAGAGGCCAAGGGAGGTGACTGGGTCTGCGGGGGGCTGCTACCTCACCTGCCTACCCTTGTGCAGTCTCTCCACAGCCCCTCTGCAAGTCTATCTGCTCATCTGTCTCTAAACTGCCTCAAACTTGAGACAAAGCATACAGAACCCTCTAGGCAGGGTAGCTTCTCTTGAGTTGGATGTACCATCTGCATTTTAGTCTCACTTTTGGTAATAAGAGCGCTTTGAGCCTTGCAGAGCAATTGGGCAGCTGGCAAGCTCTGACTGTTGTTGGCATTTTGTGTCATCGCGGAGAGGCTAAGTGAGTGCTAGTGGGTGACAAAGGCCAGGCTTCTGACTCAGGGTCCCCACTTCCCACCGCTCCGCTGACCCCCTTAGCTGCTGGCCTCTTTCTTGGGGCCTTGGTCATGTCTGAAAACAGGTGCCGGCTGCACTAACATTTTGCAATGCTGCTGACCGGGTCACCAGGGACACTGTGTTCACGCCCCTCATGGCACCTCCTGCCTTCAGCAGGGATCCTCCCCACCCACCGCTGGGCCTTGACATCACTGCTTGCTGCTTCTCAGCTCATCCATGGCTCCACCTCCACATTACAGCTGCTTCTGAATGGTTCCATCTCTGTCCTAGCATCGGAAAGGTTTCTTTGACCTTAAAACTTCTATTTTCTATATGTCTCCAAAATTTACATCTCCAGGCCAATCATATTATAACATTACTTTTCTCAGCTGGTTAAATGGTTTTAACGTGTCTTTAGCTCTCATTTTATTAATTTTTTTTTCTCCACATTCTCCAAGCTCTACTTTGACAGAAACTTTTACATAAAAAAGGTTTGATCCATTCTGCAAGTGTTTCTGTGTGTGTGTGCGAATGTGAGTATGTGCCTCACCTACTGTAATGATTCTCAAGTGTGGCCCCAGAGCCATCACCTGGGAACCTATTAGAAACACAAATGAGTAAGCCCAAAGCCAGACCTGCTGAATCAGAAACTCTAGGTGGAGTCCTGGAATCTGTGTTTTAAGAAGCCCTCTGGGTGATTCTCTTGCATGATAGAGTTTGAGACCCACTTATCTACTGTTGTTTTATAGGATCTACTCCTCACCAAGGATAGAGGGAAGTTGTGCCTCTGTTAAGATAGAAACATGTAAATAATAGCATTCTCGACACCATTGCAGGAGGTCAGCAAACTTTTTTTCCTGCAAATTTCTTCATTCACTATTTAACTTACAAAATGTGTATATGTGCATGTGTGTGTGTGTGTGTACACATGATGATGGCTAGCGATGGAGGTGGAAGTGGTGGTGTTAGTGTTGTTGGTAGTAGGAGTAATAATATTATTGGTGATGGTGGTGGTAGTAATGGTGTTGATGGTGATGATGGTAGTGGTGGTGATGGTGGTGGTGGTGATGGTGTTTGTGGTGGTAATAGAGTTGGTGTTGTGATGATGGTGATAGTGGTGATGGTGGTGGTGACAGTGATAGTGCTAGTGTTGATGGTGGTGGTGGTTGTGCTGGCAATGGTGGTGGTAGCAATGGTGCTGCTGCTGGTGTTGGTGGTGATGATGTTGTTGGTGATGGCTATTATGGTAGTGATGGCTTGGGCAGTGATGGTGATCGTGGTCATGATGGTGGTGGTAGGGATGGTGGTGGTGGTAATGGTGTTGGTGATGGTATTGTGGTGGTGTTGGTATTGGTGGTGGTGTTGGTATTGGTGGTGATGGTTTAGTGTTGGTGTTGGTGAGGGTGGTGGTGGTGGTAATGGTGTTGGTGTCATTGGTGGTGGTAATGGTGTTGGTGTTGGTGGTGTTATGGTGATGGTGGTAGTGGTGGTGATGCTGTTGGTAGTATTGATATTGATGGTGTTGGTGGTGGTGATGCTGTTGGTGGTGATGGTGGGAGTGCTGGTTACATATCAGCCCCTCAGATCATATTGCCTGACTCCCCCGTGTCTCACCCAAAAGGCCTGCCTGGCTTGTGCCATGGTGCGTGTGATAATGTGTGTGCATATGGATGTGTGTGAGTCTGTGTCTGGCCACTTCAGCCTTAGTGCCTCTGAAGTTTACAAAACCCCCAAAGTTTTAAAATAAAATTGGGGTTAAACCATTTGGATCCTGTAAATTAGAAAAAATAAATGAACCACCCAGCAGCAGTTACAGGCAATTAATGTGATTCTGGGAGGGCTTCACTGCAAGATAATGGGAAAGCTGATTATAAATGAGCCAAGGGTAATGAGGGAGGTCATGAGTCCCTTAACTCTGAAGGAGAAGCCAGGGCTCCACTCCGGCTGATGCTGGCTGCTTCGAGGTGCACACAGATCTCTTTCCACATGGGCTTCCCATCCTGGCCGCTGGCCCACACCCAGCCGGGAAGGCAGGCCAGGCCAGTGGGGAAGGGCCGAGCTCAGCCTGGTTTACCACGGCAGGGAGGGGCCTGGGAACGCTGGAACCTGGACTCTTCTGTGCTGTCCCTGCAGCTTCAGAAGAAAAGGCTTCTGAAAATAAATCCAGAGAAGGGCCAGAAAAATGAGGACAGGAAGGGAATGCGTGGGAGGGGAGGTTCCTGTGAGAACAGACGGAAAGCAGGACTTCTGACCTGGAAAGGCCCTTGCAGAGACAGCCTCGGGAGCCAGGAACCAGGGAGACTGGAAAGCACAGGCGTCTGGATCCTGACCGGATCTCTTTTCACTCCTGCAATGAGGAATCTCAAAACCAAACGTGCGGGCTGGCCAGGGACCTCAGGCGGCTTCCTACAGCTTGCCTATTTGCATTCTCGTTTTATCCTTCTCTTGATTTTGTTTCTAACCACTCTCCTGGGTCTTGTAAATATATTTTACATCTTTTGTGTTTTGCTTGCACATATCCTATTGCAAATTCTTTTCTAACAACAATAGCCTGTGAGTGAATAGATGGCCATGCAAGCCACGGCCCCTCACACTCTGAGTGTCTGCTGCCAGCTGACTAAGTCCACTAGGCAAGTCGGGGTTCGGGTTGAGCGAGAGCAATCTTCAAGCACAGCCTCATTTTCTTCAGAACCTGCAGGGTTGGCTGTGTTCTCTCTGGAAACTTGGCCCATGGTCAAGGGGTCTTGGCCCTGACTCGTCATGACCCTGGCCCAGGCCTTCTGTTGTGGAGTAGATGGAAAATCCCTCTTTCTCGTCCTATTCTGGTCTCAGAGGAGTTCTCTGTCCTCAACTCTCTGTAGTTTTGAGACAAGAGGAGCTTCATCCTCTTCCTCACACACTTGGGGTGCAAGGGTCATCCCCACTCTGCACCTCACCCCTCAGGGAACAGAAATGGCTCCTTGGGGGAGGAACTCAGGTGGGATTCTTATGGGATGTCATTGTTCTCTGGAGAATGAATCCATCACTCCCAACCTAGGCTTGTCATGCTGCACCTTGTGAGTGATGTGTGGGGCCCACGGGGCCCATTGGTTTGTAGTGTGCATGGGAGTGAAGTGGCAGCTCATGTCCACACCTCGCGAAGCAACAGCCTGACCGAGTGGCTCAGAGCACAGTCCCAGGCCAGGCTGCCACTGCCTCCTCGTGCCAGCCTCTCTGCGCACCACTGTCCTCCCTGTCAAGTAGGGATACACCTACCTCACTGGGCTACTTGGAGTATTTATAGATAAGAGACTTAACATGCAGTTCAGGCTGGGCACGGTGGCTCACACCTATAATCCCAGCACTTTGGGAGGCCAAGGGGGGCGGATCACCTGAGGTCAGGAGTTTGAGACCAGCCTGGCCAACATGGTAAAACCCCATCTCTACTAAAAATGCAAAAATTAGCTGGGCTAGGTGGTTCACGCCTACAATCCCAGCTACTTGGGAGGCTGAGGCAGGAGAATCGCTCGAACCCAGGACGTGGAGGTTGCAGTGAGCTGAGATTGTGCCACTGCACTCCAGCCTGGGCAACAGAGCAAGGCTCCCTCTCAAAAAAAAAAAATGCTCGTTTCAGCACCGGGCGGATGCAAATTATGACAATGATCATGTTTATGGTGATGATTTCCCCTGGGCAACAGTCAGACACCAGCCTAATGGCCTGTTGGAGAAATTGCACCATTAGTAGCTCTGTCGGGGTTCAAAGCAGGAGCCATCAGGAGCCACAGGGCCTGGTACAGTACCCGCACCCAGAACTCCCCAGCCGGCAGAGGCTGCCCAGCTCCACGGTGCTGGCTTTGAACATCCAGGGCTCTGTTGCCCAGGCCTGCTGCCCCCTTCCCCACAGGTACCAGGCGAGGCACCCACAGAGACCTATGCCCAGGGGGCCTCGGATGCAGAAGCCAAGCCCTCGGCCTGGGTGAAGGACACTTTCTGAAGCTTCCTGTTATTTGTTGGTTTCTTTTGTGTCTCATGCTCCCTGCAGCTCACAGACTGGGGCTGCTCCTGTAGGTGCAGAGTTCCCCATTGACCGCAACTTAGGAGAGGCCAGCTCATCCTGGGTGTCACGCCCCTCTTCCTCCAAGTAACCTTCCTCTGTTGGAGGAAATCCCCTGTTACGAGCCTTGACTTCTCGACATGGAAGCCAGGATTCAAAGCCCAGCTCCCCCTGCAGTGAGGACGCAGGCTCTACCGCCAGATGCGGCCCAAGGAGGTGTCAGCTGCCAGGGAGTGATGTGCGGGAACAGGCTCTGTGGGTTCCTTTTCATCGGCGCAGGTGGAAGCAAGTGCCCCTAGTTCTCGTGGTGACAGCAGTTGGGGCTGCAGTGGCCCAAGCTGCCGCTCCCAGCTCCATGCAGAAGCCGCATGGGTGTGGGTGGCAGTGCAGTGGCTGGGGAGCTGATTTTCAGCACTGATCCTGGAAGCTCGGTCTTGACCTGTCTCTGCAGCCCTCGCAGTGGTCCCACGGACCATTGCATACACTGTAATAACTCCCCTTCTACACAAACTGGTCAGGGTGTGTTCTCTTGTTCAGAACCGAGACAGCTGGCGGAGAAGCCACGGCTGCGTGCAGAGCCTCTCACGTGCTCACCAGCCTTTTCCTACATCATCCTGTGCAGTGCTCACGGCAGCTTAGTGCAAATGGCCAGCTTGAGAGATTGAAGCCGCCTCGGGGCACTTACTGGGGCCCCGTGTTAGGCCTCTTGGAGGGAGACTAATTTTTTGTCCTCAAACCCAAAATCAACTCCTGGCCTTCTCTAGAGGAGACCAGAGCACAGGCATGGGCGATGGGGATCACCCCGGATCTCAAAGGTGCTGCACGGAGCTGGGTCTGAGGGCAGAGGCGGCAGGACCTCAGCATCCTGGAATTGGGGAGTGCGAACCTCACTCGGGCCGACCCGTCTATACCCTTGGATCCCCTGCCAGACACAGGTCAGGGCTGTGTGCGGTCTCTCTGCAAAGCACCTGCGGCCACTCAGAAGGGATACTGCTGCCCTAAACTCATGTGTGTGCGCATGTATATGTGTATGTGTGTATGTGTACGTGTGTATGTGTGTGTGTGTGCGTGCATGTGCATGTGTGTATGTGTGTGTGCATGTGTGTATGAATGTGTGTATGTGTAACATTGTGTGTATGTTTTTGTGTGTGTGTGTATGTGTGTGCATGTGTGTGTATGTGTGTGTTTGTGTATGTGCATGGGTGTGTGCATTTGTGCGTGCATGTGTATGTGCATGTGTGTGCGTGTGTATGTGCATGTGTGCATGTGTACATGTTTGTGTATGTGTGTGTTTGTGTGTATGTGTATGTGTGTGCATGTGTGTATTCATGTATGTGTATGTGTGTGTTTGTGTATGTGTTTGTATATGTGTGTGTGTGTATGTGTGTGGTGGCAGCTCTTCTGGGCATTGTCCTTTACCTCAGTCCTAATTTTATTAAAGCATTAGAGCCTCTCACTGAATATTCCGAATACCCTATTAACCACATCTTTTGAGAGGCCAGCGCCAGTACAGCAAAGGGATGGCCGTACTCATTTTCCTCTCCTTCGGTGACCCCTGTCCCAAATCAAAATCACAGAATATTAACTCTTCCTTTGAGCAACACTTTTTGTGCCTTTAAATTACTTCCTCTAAGCCTAAAACAGAATCTAAATTCTGGAATCAGATGGTTGCTTTATGCTCTTCATTCATTCATTCATTCAACAGTTCTCCTGAGTGCACGCTCTGTTTGTATGTGCCAGGTGCTGTCTTAAGCATGGGGGTTCCAGTGTACACACACAGGTGGCACAGCTCACTTGGAGCTTGGCGTGTAGGGGAAACCAGACACCACAAATACAGAAGATAGCTTACAGGGAGGGCAAGGGCTGTGAGGAGCTGGGCCACGCAGCGCGATGGCAGAGCCTGCTGGGTTTCGGGGCAGTGCCAGGCAGGGGAGTCCTTGCTGGGAGGGCAGGTCCACTTCAAGGGCTGGGGAACAGTCCTGAGCCCCAAGAAGAAAGGGGGAGCTTTGGGTGTTCAGAGACTGACAGAAAGAGTGTGGGGACAGGACAGAGTCTGTGGGATCAACTGCAGAAGGAAATGCGGCCTCCTGTTCAACAGCGGGTCAGAATTTCAAAAGGGAAGCAGAGCGATGCCCTGGTCGGGGTCCCCAGGTCACAGCCCCTGCAGATGCCGAGTGCCCCTGAGGCTGGCCCTGTGTGAGAAGAGGGACCTGAGGGGTAGCTGGGGCCAGATCACAAGGCCTGGGGCCCAGGGAAAGATCTGGACTGGGTTCCTCTCGCAGTGGAAAGCCTCAGAAGGGTCTAAGCAGCAGCGAGCTCTGGCATGGCTTCTCTCTCTGCGCAGTCACCGGGAGGCCATTCTGGGCTGGGGAACAGACAGGGCCTATTGCAGGAGAGTGAGCGGGATAAAGAAGAGGAGAAGAGAACAAGGTCGGGTTGGGCTCTGTTTAGAGAGGGGGCGGGCAGATTGGCTGTGAGGGGAGAGAACAGGAAACCCCCAAGTTCAACTTGAGCTTGCAAGTTTAAGATGCCCATTAGATCCCAATAGGGCATGAAACGGGCCACCTTGTCCTACGGAATCAGTGCCTTGTCTAAGCAATGCTTTTTTCCTCTCCTCACAGAAGGCCGATTCCAGGACACGGCCGACCACAGTGCTTGTTAGGAGACTCCTCGCAGTTAGAGGCCATGTTGCCAGATGCTAAATCTCCCCCATAAGAAATCTGAAGACAAAATCGCCGCAGCCACTGTCCAAAACCAATATGTACAGAACAGCCCAGAGCCCCGTTAGAGCAGCAGGTGCCGCAGCCGTAAACACGCGAGCTGAGCATGTTGACTTTGGCAACACTCATGCGTGTCTTGCTGTGGAAATGGAGTTTATTGAAACTGAAACCTGGGAATAGACAGCTCGGCACAGCCCATGCCCCACTACCTTCATCCATAGTAACATCAGGAAGAACAAGGGGACATGTGTGGTCTGGTCAAATCTCCTGGACACTGTCCACATATTCTCTGACTTAGTCCTCCCAACGGCACTGTGAAGTGAGAATGATTATCCTATTTTTCAGATGCTGGAAATTTTTCAGATGCTGGAAATGGGGCTCATGAATGCTGAGTGATTTGTTCAGACAATTAAATGGAGCCCAAATTAAAAACCAGTGTGGCAGATCCTGTTAGCTGCCTACCAACTTGCAGCTCCGCCCCCCCTTTTTTGAGACAGTGTCTCACTCTGTCACCCAGGGTGGAGGGCAGTGCAACAATCATGGCTTACTGCAGCCTCACACTTCCAGACTCAAGCAATACTCCCACCTCAGCCTCCCGAGTAGCTGGGACTACTGCCACCACATCCAGCTAATTCTTTTAATTTTTTTGTAGAGACAGGGTCTCACTATGTAGCCCAAGCTGGTCTCGAACTCCTGGACTCAAGTGATCCTCCTGCCTCAGCCTCCTGAAGTGCTGAGATTACAGGCATGAATCACAGCACTGCCTGCACCTCGTTTTTTATGGCAATCTGGCTGGCCCCAGGAGATAAATTGTGATTGGTCTTAGCTGGTCACAAGAATCCTGTTCCCCTTTGGCAGGGGCTGCTATGGGATGAGCATGTAACCCATTCTGGCCAATGGGATAGAAGAGAAAGCTTTGGGAGGAGGGGCTTCTTGAAAGATTTTCTCCCTGGTAAAAAGTGGGGAACAGTTCAAGGACCAGTGCCTCTTGATCCATGTCTCCTTCCTGTCTGTGGACATGTTATGGAAGTCAGGTGTGTGGCCTGTGGCAGCCTTCTGAGACCCATGAGGTGACATGGAGAAAGCCAACAAGCTGAAGATGCAAAATGGAAGCTTGGACTATGCCCAGGTCCAGAATGGCATCATGGAGTTGTCAAACCAATCTGAGGGTCACCTGCCTCCAGACTTCTTGGTGAGAAAGTGACAAATGTCCTTATGGTTGAAGCCACTGTTAGGTATTTGTAAGTTATTTTCAGCTGAACACCTCCTAACGTAAAGCCTGGGTTGGTCTCACTTCAAAGCCCATGATCTTTGTCCTGTTTCACTCTGATGTTTGCATGGGGGTCCAGCTGTCATCCCACGTCCATTGTCAATGCCCAACAATTATAGCAACGATCAGATTTAGAAACTGAAAGGAAAACTGTCAGTTGAAAGAAGGAGAGGTGGTCAATTCAGCAAGATCAGAAATCTGGCTCTGGCCTTAATTGTTCTTGGCATGAATCCTGGGTCACAGAACTTCAAAGCTGGAATGGACCAAAAATATCTTCTGATCCAACCCCCTGTTTTGTAGAGGAGGAAATTGAGGCTTTGAGAGGCTAAGTGATTTGCCCAGCGGCCCACCGATGGCATCAGCCTTGACAGTGGAACGCAGCTCTCCCAGACAGCTCTCTGCCAAGCCAGCGCTTTCTTGCTCAGCACTCAAACTCACTCAACTTTGTTCCACACTCTGACTGGCCAATCGCCTCAAATCAAAAGGAGGTTCTCAATTTAATCATACTCTTGTGATAGGATAAACTTTGGGGGCATTAACTGAGGTTTCTTTCACATATATTTTCTTAATGTATCAAGTTACCACCCTCTTCCAATTATTTTTTATTTTTTAAGATAGGGTCTTGGCCGGGCACGGTGGCTCACGCCTGTAATCCCAGCACTTTGGGATGCTGAGGTGGGTGGATCACTTGAGGTCAGGAGTTCAAGACCAGCCTGACCAACATGGTGAAACCCCGTCTCTACTAAAAATACAAAAATTAGCTGGGCGTGGTGACCGGTGCCTGTAATCCCAGCTACTCGGGAGGCTGAGGCAGGAGAATCACTTGAACCCAGGAGGTGGAGGTTGCAGTGAGCCAAAATCATGCCATTGCACTCCAGCCTGGGACACAAGAGCAAGACTGTCTTAAAAAAAAAAGACAAGGTCTTGCTGTGTCACCCAGACTGGAGTGCAGTGACACGATCATGGCTCACTGCAGCCTTGACGTCCTAGGCTGAAGCAATCCTCCCACCTCAGCCTCGCTGGGACCACAGGTGTGCACCACCACACCCGGCTAATTTTTAAAAAATAATTTTTGTAGAGATGGGGTCTCCCTATGTTGCCCAGGCTGGCCGTGAACTCCTGGGCTCAAGCAATCTTCCCACCTCAGCCTCCCATAGCGCTGGGATTATGGCATGAGGCACTGCGCCAGGCCGCCAATGTTAATCTGGAAATACAACCAGAAAATATAAAGAACCCAGACGTATAGGGGAGTGGGGGTCAAGTTCTTGGCTTTTCAGATTAAAATCAATTCTTGAATCTCATCACAGAGAATGGTCTTGAAAGCAAGCGCTGGGCATTTAGAAGTTGAGTGGCTAAGCCCTGAAGGGACCCAGTCGGAAATGTGTGCCAGCAACTTGCATACATGAAGTGGGAAGAGAAGAGATGAAAAGTCAGATGACCCCACTTAAAGGCTTCATGAAGACTATCAGACTGGAGGGAGAGGAAGCTTCACTGTTGGAGAATCCTGTAGAAAGGGATTGATGTCCAGGGAGGAGGGGAGGCAGGACAATAAGGATAGCAGACAGGCATGAGGGGGTTCCCGACTATTCCTGGGGGCAGCCAGGAACAGTTTGGAACTGCTAGGGGAGTTGGGGGAGGTGGGGGCGGGCAACAACAGATCGGTAAGACAGGTTTTGGATGTGAGCACAGAGGGCTTGGCTTAGCTCCTGTCTGGAGGTCTGGGAGGCTGTGCAGACAAATTCATTCCATGGGGACTAGGGGATGGAGTCAAGATGTTTTCCTGGGGACCAGGGTAATGATGAGATTCTATCAAGGGAACCGAACATTCTCCAGTGTCTCGCAGTCAGAGGGCAGCCAGCACTCCTGGTGCCCTGCGAAGGCATGGCCGTCCACTGAGGATGAAGCGAGCGGCGCAGAGGATACCACAATGCAGGCAGAGCCACGGGCATCACAGTGACTGTGCAGGCCTGAGGCCCATGGAGCCCTGGCCACCCCGGACAACATCAGTGAGGGGCAGTTCCTTTTCTTTTTCTTTCTTTCTTTTCTTTTTTCTTTCTTTCTTTTTTTTTTTTTTTTTTTGGAGACACAGTCTCATTCTATCCCCCAGGCTGGAGTGCAGTGGTACAATCTTGGCTCACTGCAACCTCTGCCTGCAGGGCTCAAGTGATTCTCCTGCCTCAGCCTCTCAAGTAGCTGGGATTACAGGCGACCGCCAACATGCCCAGCTAATTTTTGTATTTTTAGTAGAGATGGGTTTTCACCATGTTGGCCAGGCTGGTCTCGAACTCCTGACCTCAGGGGATCCGCCCGCCTCAGCCTCCCAAAGTGCTAGGATTTCAGTCGTGAGCCACCGTGCCCAGTCTGTGAGGGGCAGTTCTGACCAGTGGATCTCACAGGGAATAGATATCAGTAATGAACTATAAAAGGAAGACCTCCTATCTCTGCAAATGCAAGTGCAAGAAGGGCAGATACTTCCCCTAGATAGCACAACCTCGTGTGCATGGTCTCTTCACTGTGATGCTGCCTAACCACAGGGAACACGTATTCAGCTCCGAGCCTGCCAGGCTCAGTGCCCCTAATGCAGGGTTTCCCATGAGCCTGCAGTAGCTGTGAGCTGCTTTCTCATACGCTGGCTACAGTGGCCTCCATCCCATCCAGGTGAGCCAGCTGTGCTCACCTGCCTCTCGTTCTTCTCCTGGGATCCAAAGGCTGGCATGGGCATGTCCTTCTCCTGGCAAGGGCAGAGGGGAAGATCAAGCAAGTCTAATCATGCAAGTGCTTTGCAAGCCTCTAATTGCTTTACATTTGCTGGTATCCCATTGGCCAAAACAGGTCCCGCGACGGAGGCTGGCATCACCGTGGGTGGACACACGAGAATTATGTGGCAAACGGCAGAATAGAGGGAGAGGTGAAGTCAGGCCATACTTGCAACCTACCACACCAGGTAAGCTACCACCCATCCAACCTCCCCGTGATGAGAAGCTAGCAAAAAAACTGGCAGAAAATCCTGATCTTAACTGATCTTAAGCACGAAAGGGCTGCTGGATCATGAAATTGAGTTTACCTGCAATTGACTAGTTTAGGTTTTCTAACCATTAGACAGAAAAGAAGTTCAGGATAAAAATGTAGCTTAATTGTAGAAAAAAATTACAATTTTTGCTTATGTGATTTTGTGACTGCAATTTGTATGCACTACATTCTTGACCAAAGGTTCAAAATCACCAGATAGATCAATAAGTCAGCTTGAAATACTCTAGAAGCCAGCCTTCAGAAGACCTCCAGCCAAACCAGGAAGTGGCATCCAAAGCTGACACGGGCTGACTTCCAAAGAGCAGACAGAGAGGCGAAGAAACGGATTAAAAATTCTGAGTTTGCCTACAAGGGTGGATTCTGGAACAAAGTGGCCTGGAGCCTCTGACACTTTTCCTAGAATATCACCTTTCTGATGACAGCCATCTCTGTAATTACAATGATAATTGCTTCCAATGTAAAATACCACTTATCTGGCTAGAAGAGCTGTCTGGGTCAAGGCAAAAAACAGAAAATAAAACAAACAAAAAAACAATGTTCAATTTCTTGTTGTCAAATGAATAATGTTATCATCATTAAACCAATTCTAGAGGATAATCTGGTGGAGGAAGGTGGCTTAATTTAGGACTGGCGGGGACATCAAACTAAATATAAGTGTTGTGTGTTCCACGCACCGGAAGTCCTTCCTCAATGTTTACAGTGAGACACCAAAAGTAAAAGACAGGACCCAAGCCCAGGGCATTGGGAGGGAAGCAAGAAGGGACTCAAATGCCACAGAATGGAAGGCAGGATTCCACAGATGTGAGCAATTTATCTCAAAACAAGCATTTCAAAAGGCTGAGAAAAGAGAGAGAGACAGAGAGTGAGACCCCGCCCCCCATTTTCACAGTATTATAAGTGGGCTGCCTTTCCCAAGGTCCTGCCATGTCAGGGTCTTTGTGTGTGTGCATGTGTGTCCGTGTGTGTGTGCATATGTGTGTGTGTGCCCACACGAGTGTGTGTGCATTTGTGTCCATGTGTGTGCACACGCCAGTGTGTGCACGCGCGAGTATGTGTATGCAAGCATGTGTGCGTGTGTGTGTGTGTGTCTGTGTGGTGTTCTGTTCCAATATTTCAAAAAAGTTTTCGAAGAATAAAATGCTTGTGTCCTAGTTATAAGCCAGAGTTTCATGGCTGAGGGGAGAGGAGTTGACCAGATTGGTTCTTTTGGTCCTATTTCCCTGTGACTTAAAATCCCAGGGCTCCTGTGGGCCTCTTGGTCAGGGGCTCTGCACAAAGGGATCTCTTGAAGGGCAAGGACTCCTTCCACCATCTCAACAGAATAAATGAAGTCCAAAAGGGCCTGCGATGAGCTTCCACTCCCCACAGGTGACTCGTGTGGCTCGTGAATTATATCTCAACAAAGCTGCTAAACGGAAGTGGTTGTGGAGCATCCGGCTCTGCCATATCTAGGGGCCTTGGAGGCTGTCTCACAGCACCCCAAAAAACCACACTCCCACACTGGGCCAGCTCTTCCTGTTTTCACACCTCCGAGGCCACCCTGAGCAAGGGTTACTGGCAAGTGGTGTGCACATGGCCGTCCATGGCAGAGCGCCCGCAGTGGCTCCAGGGTAATGGTGTGGTCACACATGGGGCTGTCCTCAGCCATGTAGGGATGATCACAACCACCATGGCCATGTCAACCAGGACGCTGCAGCCGCTGGCCTCAGGTTTCCACCAACTTCTCGGGTCTGATCTGCGATGCCAAATCTCCCTATCCCCAAACTCTGCTCTCCCACCTGCGATGAGCGCTCACAGGGGCCGGGTCCATCCAGCCAGAGGGTCCCCAGCCTGGAGATCAGGGCATTCAGCCTTCCCAAGAAGGGGACTCTTCCCTCAACCCCCTGGAAACTCTCCACCAGGAAGCTGGGAAAACCCAGCCACACCCACAGCAGCCAGTCCAGGAATCACTTCCAGCTCTCTTCAGACCCCAGGATGGTGTCAAGCAAGAGCCAAGGTGAGCCCAGGGCTCCTAGTGGGTTTGCCTTGGAGAGAAGTGCACAATGATCACATGACTCCTGAAATCGGCTGCGGCTTCCCAGTGCAAAATGCTGGAAGCCCCCCAGGATAATCCGCGGTGTGGAAACTGAGGATCAACCCTGCACCTCTCTCTCTGGCATTAAGCTTCTCCTTAGCTATTGTGACGCCCCAAGCCCTCTGGCTGAGCCTGATCATTGCACAGCCCCTGACACTCCAAGGCTGTGACAAGAAAGGCACCTGGGTCCTGGAGCTACCTGCATACTGGGCTGGGCTGGGGTGACCCAGAGTCAGTCCCTGCAGATGCTGTTTTGATCCGTGTCAGATGCTGGGCTCTGTTAAAATTCCATGTGAGGAAGGCATGTGGTCTGTTCTAGATCCTTCGTGCACCACTTTGTATTGCAGCCTGTAGTCCCTGTGCGGGGAGTCCCCAGCTGACCCCTCATGGTGGACAGCAGCACAGCTTTCTGCCCAAGACGACCTTTTCCAGGCTGCAGGAAAAGTTTCATATGGGGGTAACTATGGAGATGATTGTCATGGTGGCAGAGGAGGCTATGATCAAGGTGGCTACTGGGGCTGTGGTGGGGACTGTAAGGACTTCCAAGGGGGTTGGGGTGGTGAGGACAGAGGCAGCTTTGGCCTTGGCAAGATGGGCTCCAGGAGTGAGCACAGACAGGATTGCAGGAGAGGTTGTATTAGCCTGACTCCCGAGATTCTGGAACAGTTTTTCTTCTTACATCCAGTGTTACCTTCATTACTTTGTAACCTTCCAACTCCTGATCACCCGCAGGTTTTTTGTGCTGGACTATGTAATTGTCTAACCTCTGGTTCCCATTAAAAACCACCATTTTAGTTTTAAAAATAAAACCTCTGTGTGCATGTGTGTGTGTGTGTGTGTGTGTGTATAATTCAGGATGGAAAAATGTAGAAAAGACTCTGTGGGTCTCTTCTCTTTCATCTTCATATTCGTTTTATTATAAATTTAATGTTTTGTGATTGTTGAAGAAATACATGCTTATGGAAAACATTTCTAAAATACATAAAAGTCTATTTTAAAATGATGGAAAACATGTGGCTGCTGGTCATATATCATATGTAGGGTTAGAGTCGTCTCAAGGTTAGAGTTTCAGAATCTTTTTCTCTCCTATTTGGATATACATTATTAAAAATCTGTCTCTCTTATACCTTATCAGGGGGCTGGAAGCAGAAGGGCTTCTCTATCTCTGGAAGTTTTCTATATTCTCCATTGCTGGATGACCTGCACAGCATGTTTAGAGAAATCCTGTAGGTTAGAAACACATGAAATCTTAATCTCTTTTTCTCTTTCTCTCTCTCTCCCCTCCCAACCCCCCCCGTGTGTGTGTGTGTGTGTGTGTGTGTGTGTGTGTACTCATATAATTCAGGATGGAATATGCAAAGTGAAGTTGATTCAACTTCCAGTGCTTTTTAGCAGGACTTGTTGTTATTTGCAGCCTGTTCGCTATTGAAACCCACCCCTGGCCTGTTAGAAACTCAGGTGTTCCTTGTCTATCCTCAGAGTAGGTGCCTTGTCCCTGCCAGGCTCTGATCCTATGTCTGCCTCCTGGTTGTCTGGATGGGGGGGACAAGGGACAGGAAGTTCGAGGAAGATTTTTAACAAAGGGATGGACATTCTAGATCTTGGACCACTTTCAAGCCAGCCTTAGCTTGCTGAAAGCAGTTCTTCCCTTGATAGGAATGAGCATGAGCTGTGTGTGGCCGAGGGCTTGGGACACACCAGGGTAACCTGCCCACCATCCAGCTGCCCCCACTGGAGGGGAGAGGCATCCTTCTCCGGCTCTCAACTTTCTATTTCATCTCTCTCAACACTCAGGCTGGACGGTGAAAAGAAAATAATTTCATCAAGGGTTAAACCAGTGTATTAATTATCCTTCTTTTGTACAATGCTTGGCCAATTACTTTGCATAAAGCAGGAAAATGGTCAATATAGAGAGGCTGGGTGGGCAGCCCCTCCGCAGAGCACACCTTCAGCAAGCGACTCGGGCCGAATCGATGCTTCCAGGGGGCGCGTCCTGAGTCCACACCACAGACAGTGATGAGCACACACTCCCCTTACTTCTCAGCACGACACGCTTGGAATAACAGCCAGGCTGCAGCTGCTCCCATTTCATCTCTGGAGTTCTGGGCCTGGCCTCTTTCAACTCCCCTTGCCCAAGAAGGCAAGTTCTTGTTTTCTTTTCTTGTGTTTTCAAGGTTGTACCTGTGAGTTTTGGTAGAAAGTCCTTGAGGCTTCTGGGCTACTGTGCCTCTGGGCCCTTGAACTTGCGAACTTGCAGAACGCTCTCTGATTCCGGTCTTCTTTTCTTTCTGGGCGCTCGGCTCCTGGTTTCCTTTGAAATCCTCACAGATAAAATGATGAAACAGCTTGGAGGCTGTTGAGGCTGAGTGACCAGTTGAACAAGTACGCCTGAAACATGCTCTATAAGCAGAGGGGTGTTAACTGCAGGCGTCTCCAAGCAGAGGGCCCAGCTGCCCGGAGCACATCTGTGTTCTCTATTTGTGTCTGCAACAACTGAATTCAGACATGATCCAGGTGTAGACAACATATTAGCCTGATAGTTAACAATATGACTGACATCAAATTGCTGGGTTTAAGTCCAGCTCTGTCACTTACTAGCTAATTGTCCTGGAGCAAGTTATTGACTGTGCCTCAGTTTACTCCTCTATACAGTGGGGATCATAATAGTTTCTACGTGAGAATTGTTGAGAAGATTAAGAGTTGAGACTCAGGAAGCACTTAGAGTTTATTGTGGAGTGCTGGCTGTTGTTAGTATAGTGATCATGCTTGTGAGTAAGGCAGTGGAGAGTGGAGACACCAGTGAATGGCCGAAGACTCAAGGCACAGTGGACAGAATCAGGATCCAGAGGACCTCAGTGAGCTACGGTGATGGGTGATTTTCACAATAAAGCTAATTATTGTGTTCCCAAGCCCCCAGCTGCAGAGGATGGGGAAAACGTGACTTTGCAGTGGTATGGGTGAAAACGGCTTGGGAGGGCTGTTTAACAGTGTTTCATGTGGGGCAGCCACGGGGTGGGGCTCCCCCAGTTAATGCAATCTTACCCAACACCCCTAGAGATAGGTGTGGGAAGAGGGAGAGCATTGGCCTCAGCCTTGGACACACGGACCACACCTGGACTCCAAAAAAGGAGTCTAGACAGGCAGGAATGTGTGCAGAGGAGTGAGCTGGTCACAAAAGAGCTTTGCGTCATGTGAGCCAGTCAAAGTGATTGGAGCTGCTGTGACAGGTAAGCCCCTAACCACAGAGACCCAGCACAACCGCTTATGGCTTGCTCACCTAGGAGGGGCTCCTGAGTGGAGGTCAGCCCTCCCCTAGCAGTGACCCAGGGCAGCTTCCCTCTTGTGCAAGAGCATGGAGGACTGTGAGTGGAAGGTGTGTATAGGCAGGGCCTGGAAGTGGCCACATGCCTTCTGCTCACATTCTAGAACTCCTGTGGCCACTCCTACCTGCGAGAGAGGCTGGAAAGTGCAGAAGAGGAGAGGAGCCTGGTGATCAGCAAGCAGCCTCTGCCACCTCGCACAATATGAAGGAGGTCCAAGAAATTGAGGATATTGAGCCTGAGAAGTGGACCTAAGATGTGTCTTCACTCAGAGTCTACTTGGGGAAAGAGGGGATCATCTTTGTTTTGTGCCACTCCAAAGGGTGGATGCAGAACCCGTGGATAGATGTTAGGAGGCAGGTAGGGTGAGCAGCTGTCCCTGTCTGGCTTTAGCACTGAAAGTTCACTCTCCTGGGAAAGCCCTCAGCCCAGGGCAGACCAGGATGGGCTGGCCCTCCTAGCTTGGGTGATTTTAGGTCCACACAAGTGTATCTATGTTGAGAGGCTCTCCAGGAAAACACTCCTCCCCACAAACCTCCACCCTCTGAAATATGAGTTGAAATGCTGTTGGCCATAACTTCAATGTTAATGAACCAACTATATATATATGCACATATTATACATATATACATATGCACATACGTATATAAATATATAGACACATTATATATCAAATTAGTTGTCTTTAAACAGAAATACACATAAAACAAGATTACATATCGATCAGTAGGCAAAAATGTGACCAGAGGCTTGCAGGAACCTAACTCTATTTCCTGTAGGGGTAGTGGTTCAATGTTTGCTAATTCAATGTTTGCGGTGACTTTACAGAACAGAACTCCCAAAAATAAGGAGAACCAATTGTATATCAATACAGTGGAATACAATTTGGTAATAAAAAACAACGAAGTGCTGATGAACCTTGGAAACATGATGCTAAGTGAGAAGCCAGACACCAAGACCACATATATTGCATGGTTCCGTTCATGGGAAATGTCTGGAACAGGCCAATCTAGAGTGACAGAAAGATTAGTGGTTGCCTAGGGCTGAGGGAGTGGGGAGCTGGAGACTTGGGGGAATATGACAGCTAAAGGGAAAAGGTTTGTCTTGTTTTGCTTTAGGTGACGAAATGTTCTAACATTGTGGTGATGGTGGCACCTGTCTGTGGCAGTACTAGAAACCACTGAATTGCACACTTTAAATGGGTGAATTGTGTGGTGTGGGAATTATATTTCAGTAAAGCTATTTTTAGAAAGAATAAAACCCCTCCCTCCTGGGGAACTCGCAGGAGGAAGCAGAACAGGGCATACCTGGCCAGCGCGGCTCTCACCTTCATGCCTCCCACACTGGGGCTTTGACAAGCCCTGCCCTTTCCAGGCAGGCTCTGGGAGGGACTCAGCCCCCACACCTCCCAGGGAACGCTGTCCAGCTGAATTCCCTCATCACAGAACAAAGACTCGGCAGAAGGGCCCAGAGGTGGCATGGGTGGCCTGGGAGAGAGAGAGTGAGCTCCTCCATTTTTTTTTTTTTTTTTTTTTTTGGAGACGGAGTCTCTCTCTGTCGCCCAGGCTGGAGTGCAGTGGAGCGATCTCGGCTCACTGCAAGCTCTGCCCCCCTGGTTCAGGCCATTCTCCTGCCTCCCGAGTAGCTGGGACTACAGGTGCCCGCCACCACGCCTGGCTAATTTTTTGTATTTTTGTAGAGATGGGGTTTCACCGTGGTAGCCAGGATGGTCTTGATCTCCTGACCTCTTGATCCGCCCGCCTCGGCCTCCCGAAGTGCTGGGATTACAGGCGTGAGCCACCGCGCCTGGCCTGAGTTCCTCCTTCTCTAATTGCCTAAGCACAGGTTGGTGGAAATGCTGGGAGGGGATTCAAGCAGCTGACAGCAGAGATTCCAGGTGACACAGCTCCAGTTTCTTCAAAGAGTCTTGAATCCATCAGGAATGCTTTTGATCACAAGTAACGAAACAGCTGACCAACAGGCACCAGGCAGTGAAGAGAGGCCGTCAGCTCACACGGTCAGAAGTCCGGAGGTGGGCGGTCCCAGCTGGCATAGGTGCAGGAGGATGGGTGTCAGCACCAGGCTTCCTGGTTACCTGCTCTGCCACCCACAGCACACGGCTGTCCATGCCAAGCCTGTCACCTCATGGTCACAAGATGCCACCATGTTCCAAGTATCACATCATCACACAGAAGCGTTGGAGGCAGGAAGTTGGGGAAGGTGCAGAAAGGTCTTTTCCTTACATGCCTTTGTCTTGTATCTGAAGAAAAATAAAAGTATTTCCTGGAAGCCCCATCAGCAGGCTTGCTCTGTGTCTCGCTGGCCACAGCTGGGTTGTATGCCAAGTCCTGGGCCAAACATGGGATTACAGTGATTGGTTTGGACCAGGCACAGTGTACCTTGGGGGGTTGAAATTATGGGATTGCTATCCCTCTACCTAAACCCAATCCAGCTTCTACTACAAGGGAAGAACGGAAAGGGGGAATGGCTGTTGGGTGAGCTGTGAACAGTATGGTTGAATGTCATAGAAAGTAGAAAAAAGACTGATGGTGTTCTCTTGCATGAATACTATTTTGACATTTTGCAGAACCGCCAGAAAAATAAAGACTTTGATGTTTGCAATTATGAGCTCTAAATCTAACCAAGTTTACGTAGCTGTAACCCCAAAGCCCCCAGGACTTAAGATACCAGAGCCAGCCTGAAGAATGCCAGTGCCGGCACCTCTGCCTCTCCACCAAGCATTTCCTTGGTACAAAAAGGTGAAACTTTTCATTGTGTTACTGGAAATGTATCACGAGGCCACCGTTTTGCCTCGGCATGGCCCCTTCATTAGCAGTTTCTTCAGAAGTGGAATGCAATTTGGAAGTAATCTGTTTGCTCGGACACGGCTGAACGATGGCTCCTATCTGGAGATAACTGGTGCTTCTGCAACAAGAAGTCGATGCCTTCTGCATGCATGTGCCTCAGAGACACATACCCTAATGTGCCCACCATGTCTTGTGAATACAGCAAAGCAGCTGCAACCTTCTAAAAATTAATTGGTTTCTGGATCATTTGCATTTTTTATAGTTTGCCAACAACAGGGAGAGGGGAGGGAATTTATTAATGTTTGAAGAAATTTTCCAAAAGGGGAAGAAGTGAGCATTTTTAGCAGGACCCAGAGATGCTTATCTAAATATGACATGGCATTGCCTTTCGAGCTGCCTCTCCCGGCAAGCCCCTCTGAAGCGAGAATTGATATGCAGCCCTAAATGTAGACAGCTGCTGCAGACCTCCAGAAACTGCCTGGGGCTTACATTATTTTATTTGGGGTCTGCATTATGGTTCAGTAACAGCCATTTTCAGAAAACAACCAAGGCAATTTCAGGATTCACTGTCACAATAGGCCCACTAAAAATAAAGTCAGCATAAATAGATTAAGAAATTGACAGAATAACAAGGCATAAAGAATGAGAATGAATGTGCCCGCTGCAGATGACAGCCCAGCACACTGTGTGGGGAGCTGGGGAGCGACAAGAGGGAAGGTTGGAGCTTTATCTGCTGACTCCGTGGTTTCCAGATGTTTTCTGACTGTGGGGAGAGTTTATTTCACAGGGATAGTCAGCCCCTAATCTAATTCTGCATTAGTGGCAGTGGAGGCTCTATACGAAGCGGGGAGAATGGCTTTCATTGTGGCATTCTGTTTTTTCATGGCTGATACCTCTTAAAAGACAGGGTGGGCCTGGGCGCGGTGGTTCACACCTGTAATCCCAGCACTTTGGGAGGCCGAGGCGGGTGGATTACCTGAGGTCAGGAGTTCAAGGTCAGCCTGCCAACATGGTGAAACCCCCGTCTCTACTAAAAATACAAAAATTAGCTGGGCGCGGTGGTGGGTGCCTGTAATCCCAGCTACTCAGGAGGTTGAGGCAGGAGAATCTCTTGAACCCAGGAGGCGGAAGTTGCAGTGAGCTGAGATCATGCCACTGCCTTCCAGCCTGGGCAACAGAGCAAGACTCTGTCTCAAAAAAAAAAAAAAAAAAAAAAAAATCAGAAGTCTTCCATAGTAGATCCCTAGTCCCAAACATGAGTTTGGAGAAGGAAGAGATGCAGTGCAGAAGGAAGTAAGTTGGAAAAAAAACTGTTTTTAATTCAGTCATGACATTTGGAGAAAACGAATCTCTTCAGAAAACTGGCAGGAGAGAAAAAGATAAAAACTATCTGCTATATACTTACTGTGCCATCATAGGTCAGTGCATACTGTGGTAAGCTCAGGGAGATGGACTCTTTCTGATCTGGGGGTCCAAGCAGGCTTACTCAGCTGGTTAATCACAGAGCTCTGGTTGGGGCATCCGGCCCCCGACTCATCAGCATCGCTGGAAAACATCATGATTTCTTTTCATGTCTGGTCAGGCTGGGAATGCCAGAGAGAAGCAGCTAGGGCGCCTGGGGTGGCCCCCAGTTCCTCACTGTCTCACCCTTCACTGATTCTATGGCTTTTGTTGAATAGAACAGAGCAACAGATACTGCTTTTATGGGAAAATTTCATGGAATTTTCTGGAAAGGCATTTCCCAACCGAGTTCCCTGGTGTTAATAGGTGTTAGGTGAAAAAAAAAAAAAGATTTCTTAGCTTAAGTAATGTTGCAAAAGCAGCTGAATTTAGCTAAGCAGGTGAATCTCCTTCACGACTTCTCAGCATCTTTGCTAAGGTGAAGTGCACTGTGAATCTTACAGAAGGGATAAAGTGGACAGCATTTCTCCAGTGAATCTTAACATTAAAATTGTCCCTTTGAAAAATATTTTCCATGGAACACCTTGGTAGGACTCTCTGGAAATATGTTTTGTCCTAGATACAAACCATATGATTTTCAGTTAATTGAATATAGGAATGTTAGGGAACATAGCCCTCTACGTTTCTGCCTGGCCAGGACCAATTTTCTTTGAAAAAGGAAACATTTTATTATTATTTTTCCAGTTCAGTACTCATTCAATTATCTCCAGGGGACGTGACTTAAAGAGCAGAAATGATGGCACTGAGTTCTCCAGGTTGGGAAAAAAGAGGGGACAAGTTCAGCCCAAACCGTGCCTGGTGGCAGATGCCTGCCCAGGCCCCTCCATGCTGTGCTAGTGCTTTGGCAGACATTCATCAGAGGTCAATAAAAGTTAAATCAATGAAATGAAGCTCCGCTGTGGAGACATTTAATCATTTCATTAAGCATACTATTGTGTCCAGGTGCTTTGCCAAGTATAGCGCTGGTTATGGCTTCATCTAATTCCTAACTGCTGGGAAATGCAGCCAGCAGCCCTCAGACGCTCGTGCTCTGCCTCCCCAGGCAGCTGCTGGAGAGGCGGCCAAGGCGGGCTGCTGGAGGAGTTCACCTTCCGTGTATTCCAAAGGGAGACAGGGTCTTCTCCTCAAGTTTCTTTTGAAGGTTCTCCAGCCTGATTGGAGTTAAGGGAAGGTAAGGATGGGGCAGGAGTGGGAGGATGTGGAGGGGCTCTGAGGGCTCCAACTTGGCCAGGGTTTCAGAGCACCTTGGGCATGCAGAGCTGTGGTCCACAGTGGGGAGTGCTCTTCGCATGACAGGCTTTCTGGAAGACATGGTGTGGGGGACTCCCCCAACCTCTCAGAGGCCTGTGCACCCATCTGCAGCCAACCTCCACTGGAACAAGGCTCATGGAACTTCAGGGTATAGAAGATCAGTCAGTGCCTTTTGTGGTGGAGACCCAATACAGTGAGCAGTGCCCATGGATGAGAGTGGGGGACCCTGTCTGGGTATAACAGGGAGAAGTTTCAGGGGATGAAGGCCAGGAGCAGGGAATTTTAATACAAGATTATAAAATGAATTGAGATGCTCCCTTGAATAGAGCCCCTCCTCACATAGGTGGTCCACTGATTTTCAACAAAGGTGCAAAGGCAATTCAATGGGGAAAGGATCATCTTTTCAATAAATGATGCTGGAATAACTGGACACCCATATGCAAAAAATGGGACCTCTATGTGAACTTCGAACCTTATACCAAACTTAGCTTTGAAATGATCCTGGACCTCAATGTAAAAACTAAACTATAAAACTCCTAGAAGAAAACATAGGAGAAAATTTTGTGACCTTGGTTTGGCAAAGGTTTCTTAGCTACCACACCCAAATGCATGATCCATAGGAGAAAAAAAAAGTGATAAATTAGACTTGTTCAAGATTAAAAACCTCTGCTCTTCAAAAGACAATGTGGCTCACACCTGTAATCCCAACACTTTGAGAGGCCAAGCTGGGCTAATTGCTTGAGCCCAGGAGTTTGAGATCAGCCTGGGCAACATGGTGAAACCCCTTCTCTAGAGAAAACACAAGAAAATTGGCTGGGTGTGGTGGTGCGCACCTGTAGTCCCAGCTACTCATGAGGCTAAGGTAGGAGGATCACCTGAGCCCAGGAAAGTTGAGGTTCCAGTGAGCTGTGATGATGCCACTGTACTCCAGCCTGGGTGACAGAGTGAGACCTTATATCAAAGAAAAAAAAAAAGACAGTGTTAAGAGAACAAAAACACATGCTATAGATTGGAAGAAAATATTGGCAAAATACTTATAAAGGACTTGTACCTAGTATATAGTTGTTAAACTCTCAAAATAATAAAAAAAAAGCAAAAACAGCAGAAGATTTGAACAATTTGCCAAATTGTCAGATAATGCCAAAAAAATATATAGATGAGAAATAACCACATGAAAAGATGCTCAAAATCGTTGGTCTGTAGGGCAATGCAAATTAAAACCACTTCCCACCTGCTAAAATGGCTAAATTAAAAAGAACAACCCTACTAAGTTCTGGTGAATACACTGAGCAGGGAGATCTCAACTCTGAGTCACAAATCATTTGGTTACTTTCTAGAAAAAGGTATTTTGGAAGAGTGCAATATTACAAAATAATAGTCCATTTGATGTCAGGAACCTAAAACTCAGTGTCTGGGGTCAACAATCCCAGGAAGAGGGTATTATCCTTATCATCCCTGTTTAACAGACAAACTGAGACCTGGAGAACTTGGATGACAAAATGAGTTCATGGTAGGGATTAAAAGCAGGTGGATGAATTCCCAAGCCCACTGCCTAAGCACTGTACCACATGGCCTCAGCTAGCTACACACCTAAAGACCTCATGAAAGGAAACACCACACCAGCAAGGACAATGAGAACCACCCCACCCCCAGACACACTGCTAACACCCAGACATTCTGCATCCGTATTCGCCAGAACGTGGTGTGATTGGGCCAGGCACGTTGGCTCACGCCTGTAATCCCAGCACTTTGGGAGGCTGAGGCAGGTGGATCATTTGAAGTCAGGAGTTCAAGACCAGCCTGGGCAACATGGTGAAACCCCATCTCTACTAAAAATACAAAAAATTAGCCTGGTGTGGTGATACATGCCTGTAATCCCAGCTACTCTGAGGCAGAACTGCTTGAGTCGGGAGGCAGGAGAATCGCTTGAACCCAGGAGGCAGAGGTTGCCGTGAGCGGAGATCGCACCACAGCACTCCAGCCTTGGCAACAGAGCCAGACTCGATTAAAAAAATTAAAATTAAAATTAAAAAAAAACTTGATATGGTTGCTCTACTAAACAGAAATCTGGGCTAAAAAGGAAACCTTGAAAAGTTTGGAAAGAAAGAATATCTCTAGAAAAAAAAAAAGTAGGGATTGTCAAGGAATCTTTTTCTGTATATAGTTTCTCATTCCTTGCTACCCTCAACCAGAAGGGGGAAAAAAAAAAGTTAAATATAGACTCTTGGGATACTTCCAGACTTCAGCAAATGGACCTTCGGAAGATTGCTGAGAGTTACAGAAAACTGAGAAACTAATCAAAATTGTGTTCTTTGATGACTTAGTATTCACCAGGTACTATTCTAAAGGCTTTATAAGTGATAATGCCATTCAATCCCTGCAGGAAGGTATTATTAGCCAGATTTTAGAGATGATTAAACCAGTCATCAGAGAGGGTAAGTGACTTGCCTAAGGTCACACAGCTAGTTGGCGGTAGAGCTGGGATTCAAATCCAGGTTTGTGTGATATCAGTGACTGACTTTTCCATCCCATCATTGCCATTACCAGTAAGCAAATAAACAGTCCTACCTGGGCAGGTTTGCGTCCTGTCTCTATCCTATGTGTCCTTTATGTTTACATAGTGGTACCAGATGTGCATCCACGGCTCTGTAATTTCCAAGGACCTGCCTGTCCTCCCCCTCCCAATCTGCTGGCAGTTTACAAATGCTTCCCAGGCACCACACAGGGGCGTTATCTCTCCTCTCTCGCTGCGACTGCACCTTGGCCTGTGCCCTGACTCTAGACAGAAGCCTAATAAATGGTTAGTAATGACTCCAGCCCCACACAAGGAAAGCTGCCCTGGCCCAAGCCCCCTAAAGGCCTAAGCGGATTAATACCACCTCGGAAAACCTGCAGACCGCCCAGGATTGGGGGCACGCGTGTGCTTCAAAATTTCTTCTCGATCGTCTGTGAAAATGAGTCCGTGTCCAACAAACAGCATTGTTCCATGTGAGCAGCCATCAATGCACTTGGCAAGAATAAGGACTTGGAACACGCTGGTGATTATTTTTAATTGGATGGGCCTCGTGGCTGTAACAAAAATCGATGTATTTCTGACGCGGCTGCGGATACACTGATCCATCTTGGCCCTGCGGCGCTCCGGCGGCCAAAGGAGGCCAGCACTCCAGAGAGCAGCCCCCTTTTGGCTTTGGGGCCCTGAGGACCAGAGGCTCAGGGCTTCCCCGCAACAAGGCCACAGGACCCCGCTGGTGGGAGGGCCGGGGCCCCGCGCTGACCAGACCCAATAGAGGCCCCCATTGGGGGACAGGCCCCGCGGTGCGGGAGAAAGTGGGTCTGGGGAAGGAGGGGGCTGTGCAGGGGGCCGCCTGCACCCTCCGCTCCGGCTGTGGGCTTGGAGGGTTTGCGTTTCATGGAAAGTGCAGGCCTGCTAAGCATTTGCCACTTGCATCAGGAGTGACGACCTGCCCACGCAGGACAGGGCCAGGCAGGGGGCTTATGAGCCAGAGAGCCTTTTAATGCTTTCATTTCTGGCTGGAATCACCATTGTGAAATATTAAAACCAAACAACAGAACATGGCCTCCCTGGTGTAATGAAAAGCACGTGGCTCTTATCCCTGCCGGCAGCTGCCCAAGGTCTTTGAGGAGATGGGGTTGCTGTCTGGGGGAGACTGGGGTTTGTCTTTCTTGCGGGGAGAGTGGGGGTTGTCTGTGAGCTAAACAGATGAGACAAGTGTTCTATGGAGCCAATTTTTTTAATGACGCATTGGGGGAAAAGAAAAGTAATCGGATACCCACCCAAGGCTTAAGGAACCCTTGAACCTGGTTTAAAGGTTTTTCTCAAGAAAGACAATAGCATGGCCACTCTTGTCTCCAGCAGTTCATGGACAGGGTGAGGCCTCCATGCCGCTCACATGGAACAATGCTGTTTGTTTAACACGGACTCATTTTCACAGCTGATCAGAGAGGACATTGTGAAGCACCGCCCCCGCCCCCCCCAACCGTCCCCAATCAGGAGAGGACCCCGAGTCTGGAAAGCGTTCCTCTCAGGAGTGGCCTGGGAGCAGGTAAGTGCCGCAGGCAGATCCCGGGGTGCAGACAGCAAACCGCAGCACCGTTGCTTCCACAGCTGCAGCGGGGAAGTGTTTTTATGCACGCAGGAGCTCAGAGAGTGAGCAGCCACCATCTCAGTGATGTGTCTTTTGAAGATTTTTGGAAGCTGCTTCTAGACCACAGTGCAGCCTCACTAGCAATAAAAGGAGAAATTCCCTGGAGCACCAGGAATGCTACTGCCATTCCCGTGAACTGTGCCACCTGCCACCCCCATGCCCTAACTGAAAAGCTCCCCATTCACACTCAACAGAATCAATAACAATTTAAACTACTTTATAGTGAGCATGATTTCTGTTTCTAATCCTTTTTTTTTTTTCTTGAGACAGAGTCTTGCTCTGTCTCCCAGGAGTGCAGTGGCACAATCTCAGCTCACTGCAACCTCCATCTCCCGGGTTCAAGCGATTCTCCTGCCTCAGCCTCTGGAGTAGCTGGGGTTACAGGCATGTGCAACCATGCCCAGCTAATTTTTGTATTTTTTAGTAGAGAACGGGTTTTGTCATGTTGGTCAGGCCTGGTCTTGAACTCCTGGCCTCAAGTGATCCGCCCTCCCTGGCCTCCCAGAGTGCTGGGATTACAGGCATGAGCCACCTTGCCCGACCTCTAATCCTTATCTCTGGGGTTTAGCATAAACACACACTGGAAGAAGAGATCTCGGCCTTCAGACACCCCCTAAACCCACCTGAGCCTGCTTCTCTGCAAACACCCTTGACATCTGCATTAAGAGCCCAGGGGACCTCTGCTTGTAGGCTGGGCTGCATTTTCTACAAAGCCCCTGATTTTCACAGCCACATAAGTGATTTCTCTCTCAGGGCATTGCTTTTGTGCAGAAGTTTATCATATTTTTTTTCCTCAGTCTAGAAGTAAATCTTTTTTTTTTCTGAAAACTTGAAGGAAATCCTTTAAGCTGTTTGGACTTATTCAAGCATGTAAAAAGGGTATTTCAACCCATAGTTCAGCTGCTTAGAATGTTCTCAAATAGCCCAAATAATCTGAATTTAAAACTTTGAATTGGGCCTCTTTATATAGCATCTTAAAAAGGTGCCATTTACAAAGAAAAATATGGCCATGAAATAAAGGATATGGGGAGAAAGTGATCCTGCTGGTTACAGTAATAGATTGAGACTCATAAATCTTGGTTTCTATTCTTGGCTTTGGAAAGAATTTATGTGCTCACTGCATTTGGCACATGGTGGCAACAGGGAGATAGACTGGAGGACTTGGTATGAAGGAAATAACATCATCCTGCACACGTTCAGTTGTGAAATCCACACACAGGGCACTGGAGACAATGCGTGCAAAGCCACCTTAAAGAAACACAACAATCTGCAAGTCAGATGGGACCAGCCAGGACTGCCCTGGAGAGTCTCAGAGGCAACTGCGGGGAGCTCATATCTGAGCAGGGGGAAGGAGAGGAGGGAAGGGTGTGGGAACGGGGGAGAAGTGGGGTGGGTTGGGGTGGGTGTGGGGTGGCCCAAAGGCTTCTTCTGCTTCAGGGGAAGCAGTAGAGTGTCCTTGGCTGACTGGGGATCCAAAGCCCTGCTCTGCCAGTTCTGAGCTGTGCGATCTTGAGCCAGTTACCTAACCTGGTGTCTCAGTCCGTTAAAGCCCCTGTAACAAAGGGTGCAGCTTGGCTGAGTTCTGGTGATGGCCCTCCAAGTTGCAGGTGACGGTCCTCTCCTTGTGTCCTTTGTAAAGGCACTAATCCCATTCATGAAGGCCCCACCCTCATGACCTAATCTCCCCCAAAGCTCTCACCTCCTAACGCCATGACACTGGGGAAGAAGATCTCAACACGAATGTGGAGGAGGACACAAACATTTAGTCTGTAACACCTCACTGAGCCATAAGAGCTTCATTTGGGAAAGTGGAGACAACAGTTCTTAACTCATGGAATTAAAGGAGGATAAAATGTGTATACCTCACTTAGCAGTTAGGGAGAGGTGGTGAGGACTGTGCCGGTAGGGGTGGCAGTAACACTGGTGAGGGGATTGCCATTGTGGTACTGCTGGAAGTGGTTATAGTGGCGGTGGTGGTGATTATGGCGGTGGTGGTGGGCCAATCGTCAATGCAGAGATGGCCAGGTCCAGGCTGCCAGAGCCTGTTGCCGTTATCAATGCCCATGAGCCAAAGAAACCAGGAACACATAGTTGAATAAAGTTAGGTTTCTGGGTACTTGTTGCCACAGGGGAAACCGCACACCACAGGGAAACTTGGGGTGTCTCAGTAAGAGGGTGGTAGGTGACCTTGTTATAGGAGTTGAGCTCGCGTTAGGTGACTTGGGAGCAGTTGCTCTGGATTGGGTATAATTGGGTATCACTAGTTTTTATCCAAGACGAGAAAGGATAGAGCGAGCTAAGGCTGTCATTGGTAAGGAAGTAGCCATCATTGACATTGGGTGAGAGGGAGGCACGTGTGGTTGTTTTTGTGGTTTGAATAGTGTGCTGTGTGTGTGTCTGTGTTCAAACATGATTACCTTGTTTGAACAAGTGGTCTTGTTTTTGTCTCCCCCTATCCAGTCACAGAGTTGCCTTGTTCGATGTTGGTGTCCAGGAAAATTGTGTTTGTTCAACAAAAGACCATCATGGTGGAGTGGTGGGCGCCAGGCTGGCTCCCAGCTGACAGCTGGCGGGGTCTGCCTGTTTGTTCCTCACCCTCTCGCCCCGGAATCCCTGCTGCAGTTCATTGCTCACCAAGAACCTCTTGGATTAGAATTGGGCTTCCCACATGTGGGACCTGCAGGGGACAATTGTGGTCAAAGGGATCTGAGTATCCCAGACCCCTGTGGCGATAGCAGTGTTGAGCCATATGAAATTGCCACTTTTATAGGGCAGAAGCATTCAAATATTGGCAATTTCCCACAGTAGAGCCGAAATATTTCTCACCATTAGTTAATAATTTGTTATCCTGCAGCCCTTAACAGTTTCCCCTGGGCCCCCTGCGAGAGGAAGCCCTCTGTCTCTGGGTGAGAACGATTTGGGGTTTCTCATCCTATAAGGCAGAGAGTTGAACCTTAAACCACACTCAAAATTATCAAGGTAACGTGAGACCCTCCAGAAAATACCAGGCTTTTCCCCCATGGCACCCTCTTCCATTTATCAGAGGGAACTTGGCTCCGAATCCACTTCTGCCTGTCAGTAAGTCAGTTAACTCATCGTCTTGTGAAATGACTTATGAACCTCTTTGCCCGGGCTCAGGCGCTGCCCATCTCTACCCCCAGTGGAAGGGATGGGCACATGAAGGGAAACAAGTGAGACAACTCGAGACACAAGGACCTGGGGCTGCGATTGAGAATAAATGTTTAACTGGAAAGCGGCTGGGGTGTGGACAAGGAAGCTGCCCTGGGGCAGCATGGGTGAGCTGGGTGCAAGGCCCACACCTGGCATCACAGCTTCCTGTAGCTCGTCCCAAGGTCCATTACACACACACACACACACACACACACACACACACACACACACACACACACACACCCGGAGAGCGGTGACGCGATCTCGGCTCACTGCAACCTCTGCCTCCCAGGATCAAGCGATTCTCCTGCCACAGCTTCCCAAGTAGCTGGGATTACAGGCGCGTGCCACAATGCCCAGCTAATCTTTGTATTTTTAGTAGAGACGGGGTTTCACCATGTTGCCCAGGCCGAATTTTGACCTCAGTAAAATTCTGGGGGCACCTGCTGCTTTAAGTGACACTTTGCTTGGCATGAGTTGCTGAGTGCCTGAGTAGGTTAACAAATTCAGGCGAACAAAATCACCTGCGCTTTGAATGGTGCTATTATTATATAGGAGTGATTGCTGAGGCCAAGAGAAGGAAACTCAGAGTTTTTCCAAGGCTCTGCCAGGCTGGGCTGCCCCCACCGGTTTGGGCACTTCTGGCCAGAACCAGTCATCCCCAGAAATGTAGGGCGCAGCTGCTGGACTGTAGGGGAGCCCAGGTTTGGGGAAGAGAAGTGTATTAGTTTCTGTGGCTGCTGTTACCAATGACCACAGCCTTGGTGGCTTAAAACCACAGATGTTCATTCTCTCGTGGCTTGGAGGCCAGAAGCCCTAAACCGAGTGGCCACTGGCAGTGCCTGGCATTCCTTGGCTTGCAGCCACCTCACTCCAGGCTCTGCCTTAGACTCCACATGGCTTCCTCCTCTCTGTTCTTCCCTTCTACCTGTCTCAAATCTCCCTTAGCCTCTCCATTAAAGGACGCTTGTCACTGGATTTAGGGCCCACGCAGGTAACCCAGGATGATCTCCTCATGTCAAGATCCTTAATTATATCTGCAAAGAGCCTTTTTTTCAAATAAGGTCATATTCACAGGTTCTAGGGATTAGGATGCAGACATACTTTGGGGGCCACCATTCAGTACCCCACAGGAAGCACAGGGCAGCAGCCGGCTTGGCCCGCAGTGCTCCTCCCGAGCCTGCTTCATTAATGGGCTGGTGCTTCGTCAACACGACAGCATTTGCCAAGGGCAGGTGTCCTTTTCTCCATCCCACCTTGGAAGCCTCCCAGAAGCGGCCAGGCCCCTGTGGGACTGCCCCCACTGCAGCGTCTACCTCCATAAACACTTCCCGGGATCCCCCTTGGAAACCTGGCTGCCTGGCTCCCCTCCCTCCACCCTCTTCCTCAGCAATTACCCCAAGCTGGCCGGCTGCAAGGTGCTGGGGATCCCCGGGAGTAGGGGGCTGGAGCCCGGTTCAGCCAGGCCCTCCCCTCCTCCCTCCCTCCCTCCCCAGGGCTGGGTCATCGGCCCCTGCACCCTGAGTGCAGCTCCCATGTAGGGACACCCTCACAGCCCATCAGCCCTCCCCCAAAACACACGCTCACTCACGCTGGCTGCTCGTCCCCTGGAATGGCTCCTAATCCCCTCGGCAGTGACTAAGCACCTTCCAGTCACTGCTCCAGTCATTAATTTCAGCACGGGCGCGGCCTGGCCGTGCTGTTCTCCTGGAGCGCCAAGGCTGTCCGCGCAGCCATTGATTTAGGAGACAATATCACTTGCTTCCAAGTTTATGAGGCAGTAAACAGCCCCCGCATAGTGATGAATGCCGAGGTGTTTGCTCAGCACATTTGCTGTGCGCATTTATTACAAGGGCTGTGCTTTAAAGCAAATGAAACTGCAACTATTTTCATTTCCTCCGGTGGGGCCGGCCCCTCCCCCAGCGGTTGTCCTATCTATTTGATCCTGGATCCCTCTTCCCTGGGTACTGGGCTGCAACCCTGTGACCAGCCAAGATGCACACCTGGTCACTGCAAACACCCCTGTTTGCTTAGGCCTTGGGGAACCTCAAAGGACCCCAGACACAGGGCTGGGAGGGTCTGGAATAAGAGGGGCAATGAAGAGGCTGCATCTCCAGGACCCCGCCCTCGAGGCCTCTCTCCAGCCTTGCCTCCTCCTCCTCTCTGGAGAGGAGCACGCGTAATAAAAATAGAACCCGCCAGCCGCCAGCATCTCCTCCCCTCGCAGCATCACACACCAAATAAAACTCCTTTTAATCTTAAGAAGCTGGGACGCCTACAAGGCTGGGCTGCCAGTCCATAAAGATGAATCTTAGAGCATTTACTGGTTGGAATGCCCTGTGAATCGAAACTGGTTTATGTATAAAATATTAGGACGGCTCGGAGGAGGTGGCGAGCCGGTGGGAGCGACCAGAGGAGATTGATTGCGAACTTTGTGCCAACCGAGCAGTTCCCTGAAAGCTGAACAGAGAACAACACTTGAAAAATGTATCAGATTAGCCCCAACACAAAGCTGATTTATAGCCGCAGTAATCCGCATCTTGCCGTCCATTTTGGTAATAGAGAGAGATTAGGATGGTGGTGGCGCTTTGTGGGGTTTCTCCAGCTCATTCCTCCCCCAGCCCCCAACCCCACAATGAATCTTGCGGTAAAATCAGGAGTTAGCAGTTTCACCAGACATTGTGATGTGGAGGGTGTTGAGTTTTGAAGCATTTTTGAGTTTGGCATGAAAACTGACTGGATGAGGAATTCGTTTTAAAAAATCTAATAATATTGATTGCTTAAAATCACAAAGAGTTTCCTGGGGAGACGGAGGAGGCAAGTTCCCCAGTAGCCCCCAGGCTGTGTTTAAAAGGAGAGGTGTCGGAGCTGAGTGGCTGCCCTCCAGAGGCACCCACGTTGCAGCCCACCTTGAGCATAACCCCAGCCCATACACACAGCATTTGGGGCCACCTGAGTTGGGAAGGACAAGGATAGAGCCTGCTTTGAGACAATGACATTCACCCCCACCTGTCACTGGCTACTTATCTATTCAGTGGACATTTGCCAGTATGTACAAAGCACCATTCTAGGTCCGTGGGAGATGCAGAATGTGGGGGTGCCCTCCTACTGTTGCTAAATGCCATGTGGGACATTTGAGAAAGATCAGGGTCACTGCCCTCCAGAGCCTTACAATCCCCACTGGAACTGGGGCACAGGAGCCAGATAGATCAATAAATATGGAACATGCACCAAACCAGAGAAATGGTAACTGGCATCATGTCAATCAAGGGCAAGGGAGAGAGACCGAGAACTCCTGGGGATGGGATGAGATGTGATTGAGGAAACTTCTCTTTCTGTGCAAAGGGCTCCTGGGAAGAGTGGGAAACAGGAAGATGTGTGACTGGACCTGGCCCCTCCACAGGGCCTGCCGATATGTCCTGCTTCTATGGAAGAACCGACCCCTAAAAGCTGCCTTTGAAACCCTTTCGTCTAGGCAAATCTCATTCCCAAGCTTATTGTTCTAAGAAATAGTTTAGAGGATCCTCTTTTCTACCATTGCTCATACATGCACAAGACTGTTCAGGACTCCCTGGCAAAGTCTGATTTGCCTGAGCACAGCAGGAGGTCTTCCCTCTGCCCATCCGCCTCATCAACAGATGAATCTCTCAGGCCTGGGAGGAGGGGCTGCTCACCACTAACAGGATGGGGTGATGAGACATGCTGTGCACAAAAACACCTGGTGCAGACAGGAGGTATAGACACCAGGAGAGTCTAGCGATAACACTGGGACCCAGTTGCTGAGAGCTTGTGGGGTGACCACCATCACCACCACAACGTCACCCTGATCCTCACCATCACCACCTCATCACCATCCTGATCATCATCACTACCACCACCCCCATCACCATCACCCTCATCCCCACCACCACCATCACTGCCACCCTCATCATCACCATCACCATAACCACTACCACCACTATCACCCCCATCCTTACCATCATCACCATCATCATCACCATCACCCTCATCCTCACCACAACCATCACCACCACCCTCATCACCACCATCACCATAACCACTATCACCCTCATCTATTATACTCTCTATCACCACCATCTCAAAGGTGCCTGTGGGGTGGGCCGTTTGCTAAGAGCTTCATATATATCTAGAACAATCCTCATAATAATCCAGTGCCATAGGGGCCACTATGATACCATTTTATAGGTGAGGGTACTGAGGATTAGAGAGGTCACCCTGATAATAAGTAGCAGAGTAGGAATTCAAGCCCATGCAGCCTGACCCTGCGTGAGTATTCACAATATAGTAAGTTCCCCTTATTGGTGGGGGATATTTTCCAAGACCCCCAGGGGATGCCTGAAGCCTTGGATAGTACCAAACCCTATATATGCTATGTTTTTTCCTATACATACATACATACCTATGATTAAGTTTAATTTATAAATTAGGCACAGGAAGAGATGACCAACAATAATAGAACATTTACAACAATATATTGTAATAAAAGTGATGTGAATGTGGTCTCCCTCTCTCTCAAAATATATTACACTGTGCTCACCAATTTTCAGACCACGGTTGACTACTGGTTATTGAAACTACGGAAAGTGAAACTGTGGATAAACCGGGACTGCTGTACCAAACTGCCCCCTCCTAGGCTCCGAGTCTCTGTTTACTGCTGTTTTCTTGAAGGTTTGACCGGTGAGATTGATCTTTAGATCAGTTGCTGCTGGTCACGGGCCAGCTGCAGGCGTTGTGAGTGGAGATGTGATTGTACCTCCATGAGCTGTTTGTATCATTCATTCCCCCATTCACCGCTGATCTGAGCGGGGAGGGTATGAAGAGAGGAGGCACGCCCTCCCTAGAGGAGTTTATCCTTTTGACCTTCAGGGGTCAGATGTGGCCACATGGCTGTCCTCACCTGAGAGGATCACACAGGGCCCAGACCAGCGCGTGCCCCGTGTGCTGTGAGAGAGCAGGGGCCAGGTGGCAGGCAGCCCTGCATCCTCACCAGCTGCCTCCCTTCCCCCACCCAGTATGGATCTGAATGTTGCGCGCGCGCGCGCGCGCACACACACACACACACACACACACAAAACCTACCTACACAAGACAAAACCCCAATTCATTTTGCCAAAGACATTTTCCCTTAGATTTAAAACCCTGTGTAATTTAAGAGATATGTAATTCATGTGTCTGCATTTAAACCATCAAAGTGCTTTTAAAAGAGCTATTTGAAATCTTTGGAGCTTTATGAACCTTTAAAGTTCTTTCTTTGAAACATGGGAATCACACACTGCCAAGGATAAAGATAGTCAAATACCAAAGGGCTAGGGGTGGGCTTGAGACTCGAAATCCGTGACATTTCACTGACAAAACTGAATTTCTCCTCTTTAACATCCACTTCCAATTAGGACGGCAGGCTGCCTGGCATTCTCCACCTCTGCGTGCCGGGGATGGCGGCGGGGCAGCACCGGGCACCCGAGCCCGTCCGCAGGGGCACTTTCCCCCTCGCACCAAAGCTCCCAGAAGTGGGCCCGAGTCTGCGACACCGGCGCCGCCACGTGCCGAGGTCGGGACTGGTTAAATGCGGGTGCCTGGGCCCCTCGCCAGGGTGGGCTGACTCCGCGGGCCTGGCGGGCCCCGGGCTGCGGGGACCACGATTCACCGCGCCCCCGACCCTGGGGATGCCCGAGCACGCAGGTGTGGGGACCCGGCCAGGGACGGCTCGGGCGCTGCCCGGCTGATGCCCGCCGTCCCCCGCTGCGTCCCTGGCCCCGGACCCCACGGAAAGAAGGTGAGGGGTGCGGGCGCCCCGGGTCCACCTCGGCGGAGCAGCTCCCACGGCCCCCGCGGGCTCCTAGCTCGGGTCGTCCCCGCCGAACCCGGGAGGCCGTCGGTGTGCGAGCCCACTTCTCCCCCGCTGCTCCCAGTGGCCTGGCAGGTGCTGTTGAAGGCGGCCAAACCTCCGCACTTCCCGGGTCAGGGCCGCTGTGGGCCCGGAAGGCTGAGTCGCGGGGCCAAGCCCCACAGCCCGCCTCGGCCCGCAGGTCACCAGGGCGCGCTAGATGCACGGTCCCCGCCGCGCTCCGCCTGGGTGGGCCGCCAGGGTGGGGGATGTCCCCTGCGGAGTCCGCGGCAGAGCTGTCGGGTCCCTGCCGCCAGCTCCGCCGGCGCCTACGGGGTCCGAGGCCGACCGACCCAGGCCTGCTGAAGGGCGCTGGGGTGGGGCCGCCACCTGAGCCGGCCGTCACCGCCCGCCCTGCCCCGCGGATGCCACTTCTTCTCCTGGCCCAGAACCGGTAGCCCCCAGGCGGAGCCGAGCGCGGCCCCCGGGGGTTCCGAGAGCTAGGCGGGTGAAGTCTGGCACCGGTCTCCTCTCCGCGCTCCGCTCCCCTCCCCTCCGCTCCTGGGCAGCGCCCCTCCTCCGTGTGCACCCCAGGAAGGCGGTGTCTTACTCCCTGTCCTGCCCTCCCCACTGCTTGGGACCAGCTGCGACTTCCTTCACCCCGCAACGCCTCCCAAGGCAGCCACCACGGAGGAGTGAAGATTGTCTGAGGAATCTGGCTCTGAGTGTCACTGCGGCCGCAAGGGAGCGGGGCAGCAGCCAGGGGCCTCGGCTCTGGGCAGAGTCCCATCTTCGGCGGGGAATTGAAGGCTGGGGTGCGCTGCTCTCTCCGCAGCTGCCGGCCCCGCACACGTCTGTGCCCCACAGCGCCCCTCCTGGGCTCCACCAAAAGCCATCAGCTCGCAAGTTCCAAGCGCTGAGGAATGCTTTTAGAAATGGTTATATTTGGTCCGGCGTGGTGGCTCATGCCTGTAATCCCAACAACACTTTGGGAGACCGAGGCGGGCGGATCACAAGGTCAGCAGATCGAGACCATCCTGGTCAACATGGTGAAACCCTGTCTCTAGTGAAAATACAAAAATTAGCTGGCCACGGTGGCGCATGCCTGTAATCCCAGCTACGCGGGAGGCTGAAGCAGGAGAATCGCTTGGACCAGGGAGTCGGAGGTTTCAGGGGGCCAAGATGGCGCCACTGCACTCCAAAGAGAGACTCCGTCTCAAAAAAAAAAAAAAAAAAAAGAAAGAAATGGTTATATTTGAACATTGGCATAAGATTTAGCGTCCTGGGGCTTGGGTTCCCTTCCAGAGTAGTAAAGCAAGCCCAGGCTGATGCCTCCAGGGAGGGTGCCTGGCCCTGCGCACTCCACCATCAGCCTGGCCTGCTTTGGTCCCCACCTAACCCCTACCTTGCCTGAGTTTGTCCATCAGGCCCAGTTCTGACCACTAACTAGCAACCCAGGGACTCCCAGGTCACCACCCCCAAGGCTGAGTTCTCACTGTGTCTTTTCTTGATGACTTTGGCTGTCCTCAATGACTGTGTCACTGGCCGGAGAAATCCACCCTGCTCAAAGAAGGAGAGCATCTCCTCCCCCACAAACTCCCTCCTTTCCAATTTCCCCACTTCCTGCATCACTACAAGTTGCAATACACCAGTAGGAACACATTTGACTTATTTTGACGTCTTTCTCTCTCTTGCTCCTCTCAACACCAAATTCAATCTGCTCCAAATCTTGGAATGTCACTCAAATCCACATGGTGTTCAATGAAGGTTAAGCGTTGAAGGCCAAGAGTGAGGTGAAGGGTGTTTCAGGCCAGGAACAGTGCATGCAAAGGCAGAGGCCAGTGAAAGCACCTAATGGTGAGAACCAGCCAGTGGTTTGGGGGTCCCTACTGGAGGGCCCCACCACCTGGCCTTTGTTTCAGCAGCTGGGTCTAGTCTTCTAATCTTCTGCCATTCAAAACCTCCTCTCTCCTTGGTTCTTAAAAATACCCAGTGGCCGGCTGGGCACGTGGCTCACGCCTGTAATCCCAGCACTTTGGGAGGCCGAGGTGGGCAAATCACCTGAGGTCAGGAGTTCGAGACCAGCCTGGACAACATGGTGAAACCCCATCTCCACTAAAAATACAAAAATTAGCCAGGCGTGGTGGTGCTCATCTGTAGTCCCAGCTACTCAGGAAGCTGAGGCAGAAGAATCGCTTGAACCTGGGAGGTGGAGGTTGCAGTGAGCTGAGATAGTGCCACTGCACTCCAGCCTGGGCGACAGAGTGAGACTCCATCTCGAAACAAAACAAAACAAAACAAAACACAACCACAACAAAACTAGTAGCCCTTGAGCCCAGTGATCTTTTCTGTCCCCATCACTTGTTGGGGTAGCAATGAGTCTTCAAAGTCCATTTCCCCAGGTGTGAGCAGGGCTTCCTGTACACACCCAAACAAACGCTAGTGTCCCCATGCAATTGTCTTGCTATTTGCAAACAAGCCTGTGTCCCTCTCAACCTCTGAAGACTGGGACTAGGTCACTGTCTTTCAGAACAAAGAGGCCCAACCAACCTTTTCCACCTTAGTCTTTTCTCAAAATCTCCAATAGGCAAGCCTCCTCCACACCCTCATCTGGACCCAATCCTGAGCCTGGACTTGTGGGAGATGTCACTCACCGGGCAGCAGCAGGTGTTACAATCCTTCTATGTTGCTGAGATGAAAGCTGGGACCAGGGCCAGGTGGAGAAGGGAAGCTCTTTGGGCCTGTTCATGGAGAACGTTAGCTTCACCAAACCATTAGCAGCCACACGGTGCAGGGAACACTGCTGATCACACACACAAGGCCTCTTGTTGGAGCCAGCCTGGGAAAAGACCTGGCTGGGTGGTGTCTGCTTACCTGGACATGTGCTCCTGGAAAGGGACTCAGCATCAGCAAATGCAGAAGGCCCCATTCTGACAACTTGAGATCCAAGAATTCCTTACTTTGTGCCTCTTCATCCGATTAAATACAAAGATTTGGGTAGCAGCCGCCAATCTTCCAATAAATCACCCAGAAATGGGGAGATTTGACCTGGGACCTTGGGTCCTCCCATCACCATGAAAACCAGTGTTCCTACTGCATGAGAATAAAGCCAGTTGCTGATCAGAACAAAGGGTTCCAGGGGAGACCCTGGTCAGCTCACTCCTGCCAGTCTGCACCTGTCCTGCCTGGCTTCGTTTCTTCTGTCCCAGCCTGTGAGGGAGAGGGCCACAGTTCTGTAAAGCTTTCTCTGGGTTCTTCCAAGGGAACCCCCTCCCCTGCCTTCAGGGTGGGAGGTACAGGAGGAGGAACAAGGGACTCGGATTGGAGCTTGCATCTATCCTTCATAGCTGTGTGATGCTGGGGAAGTCACATGCCCTCTGAGCCTCAGTTTCCCCAGTGAAGATCAGAATGATAATTGGCGTACGTCGTTGCCCGTTTAAAGGAGAGTGATTTGTGAATTACAGAGCCCTGTACAAATGTCAGTTATTGTTCTGATCCTTGACTTTCTTGCAGTCCCCAGGGGCTGGAATAGGAGCCAGTAACTTGTGGAGTAACAAGAATAATGACTAACAATTTTGCAGCTCTTACTACTCTGAGGAATGATACTTCACATGAAGTATTTAATTTCATCCTCACATCAATCCAAGAGCATAGATACTATTGGTGTTTCCATTTCCAGGTAAGTACTGAGGTTCCAGGGCTGGCCAGCCAGGAGTTCTAGGTGGACCCACAGTAAACACAAACCTCCCATCCCTGTTTGGAGAGCGTCCTCCATTCCTAGCTGCGTCCTCACATCAGCAGTCCCTGAAGGGCACCTGCCACCCTTGCATGGAGCTCAGCGTGTTCCAGAACTTCTCCAGGCCCTTATTTCACATCTTTGGCTCCTCGGGTCCATTTCCCACCAAGTGTGGAGGCCGATCTGCGTCCCTAAAGGCTAGGTTAAGGAGTTCTGCTCCAGAGCCGAGAAAAAAAGCCCGGTCCCCAATGGTTGAGGGACCTCTCTGTCAGGTGGCCTGGCCTCTGGGGTGTCTTCTGCCATCAACCAGAATTGTCACTGGGGGGGGCCACCTGCCACCCTTCAGAAGGTGGGCTCCCAGCATCCTGCCTTGGGCTGGGGCCCCTCCCTAAGTTTGTGTGCGCCCCCTCAGTGCCCTGCTTCTGCAGGACTGGGGCTGAGGGGTCATGGCCAACACTGCACCGACTCCCTGCCCTCAACTCGGCGTGGAATCAGACCGTCTTTCCACTCAGGCCACTGTCCTTCACGCCTATCCCCTGGTACCCTCCACGTATCTCCTGGCCACCATCAGAGACGTGTTCCTGGATGCCAGGTTGGGCCTTCCAGGCCCTGACCCCTCAATACACCTCTCCGTTTCAACAGAGCCTGCCCCTTCCCCAGCTCTGGCCAGGCCCTCAGAAGCTGGACTGAGGATAAGAGCCCCGCAGTCAGAGAGGACATCCTCACTCTGACTCCTACACTCTGCCTGGAAATCCTCCTCTGGCCAAAAGACAGCGCAGTTAAACCAGCTGCGAGGTCCCCCGGTGGGCCAACTTTGTTGTGTGTGCGGTATTTTTAAAGCAAAGCCTGCCTGTCACATCACACAGGCACTAAATCAGGTGCACATTATTGGAGATATCTCAGAGGAAGCATATTGGCTATGTTAATAACAACAATGCACTCATAATGTACTTTTCAATTTGAATTAATTTTTGTAGCTAATTCTAGCTACTGAATGTCTTCATTTAAAATATACACATACATGTGTTTTGTTCAGTGTTTTAATTAGGCCCAAAGGAATATACTTTCCATTTTTGGTCCACTTCATTTGTTATATTAATGAAAAGGCACTCTAAATCAAGTTTCACGTTGATGTTTCATTACGTATGCTGTTCTCACACATCTCTAAAAGAGATTTACGTTGCAGGGAGTAACCACAAATACTGGCAGTGGACATGCTGTTAATTTAAAGTGTAAAGTTTTCTTTTGAGGTGCAGCAAAAACATAAGGTCACACACTTCCCGAGCACAGCTGACTTCCCTGTAACGTGGCTGCACCTGGAATTCAAAGCAGGGGCCCTGCACTGCCCCCTCCTAAAGCGTGTGCCCACCTAGGCTCCGATAATAGAGATCAGAGCCCGACCTGAAGGACTGAGCCTGACTTCAAGGTATCCATGACTGGGAAGGAGAAGATTCAGGAGCTGGGGGGGTCTCTGGACTCTGCATCCGCTGTGTGTTGGGGGGCTTCGGTATGGGGACTGGATTGCAGCTCGTGCCACTGACACACACACATGTGAGCACACAATCACTCTCAGCAATGATGATGGCGTGCCCGGGGCCCTTGCCACATGAAAGGCCTCAAAGTTGGTGTTGGCCTTGTCCTGGGCTGCCATTGAATGTCTCCTGTGGTCCAGGCAAGGCGTGGAGCCTGTCAACCCCGTGCCATCTGACTGAATCTGCACCAGTGCCTGTGGGTAGACAGCAGCACCCCATCCTCGTGTGTAGAGGAGGAAGCCGTGCACCTGGCTGATGCGTCACAGAGTGAAGATGTGAAGCCAGGCCCAGTGCCTGCCAGCACAGGCCATGGGAGCAAGTTCCGCTGGGGACAGACCTCCCCATCCCCACTGGTGTTGGGATAGTGTGACACACTTTAGAGGTAAACCTGGGCCTAGTAACTACCTAAGAAGGGCAAAGCGGTTGGGAGGAGGGTGAATTACAGCTCCCTTTAACGCTGCCATTGATATTTAGCCTTCAAACGTTAAGCTCCATTAGACACATGTCTCGGCACTAAATTGTACTTTAACGCTTAAGAGCAGTTTGTTAAATCTTCCATCCTCCACTCTGCAGACTGAAAGCAAGCTACTCAGGAAAACGAAGCTGGAAGACGATTTTCTGGAACTGCCTGGAAGCTGTGGGCACTGTAGGTGACACAGACTCTCTTCCTTATCTCTTAGGAGAAAGAGGAGATAATTGGGACAATTCTGAGAGTAACAGAAATCACCCCACCCTTCCTTTCCGTGGCCCTCAGCGGGCCTCCAAACACCCTGACAGACACTGTTTCCCTGCTTCTCCTGATGGCCCTGGAGCCTGAGGTGTTATTATTCCTGCTTTGTAGACCAGCTGGGATTACAGGCTTGCGCCACCATGCCCGGCTAATTTTTTTTTTTTTTTTTTTTTACATTTAGTAGAGACAGGGTTTCACCATGTTGGCTAGGCTTGTCTCCAACTCCAAACCTCAAGTGATCTACCTGCCTTGGCCTCCCAAAGTGCTGGGATTACAGGCGTGAGCCACCGCACCCAGCCCTGCATTTTAATTTTGAAAGAGTACTTTTAAATGTACAGGCAAAATACGTTATGCTTGGCTGGATGATGATATTCAGTATGGTATGCACTGAAATAGCCTCTTTATAGAAAGTTAAGATAAATATAGCAGTTTAGTGCACCAAAGGATGTGTTTCATGAAATGTTTGGAATTCATATTTGGTGTGACTTTTAAAATTGTGATTATCAATAATCAGACATAAAAGCTATAATTTGTTGAGCACCTACTCCTTGTGGCCGCGTGGATTATGTCATCAATTTAAGTTTACACATTACTTGCCCGCCAGCCACTCCACCCAGCCACACCTGCCTGCTTGGCCTAGGACTGCGTCAAACTCTTCCTCACCGCGGGGCCTCTGCACCTGCTGCCCCAGCTGCCTGGAGTGTCCTCCCCTAGGCTTTGTGTATGTTGGCTCCTCCCATGCTCCAGAATGTCACGAGGCCGTCCCTAACCATCCACTTGTCCCCTTGGGATGCTTTCATAGCACACTGGCCTTTTCTGCCTAGCACACACCAGAATCCTGGAATGATGTTATTTCTGTATTTATTTGTTTTCTTTCTCTCCCACTTAGGGTTGCCAGACAAAATGCAGGATGCCCAGTTAAATTTGAATTTCAGATAAACAATGAATATTGATTCTTATGCTAATTTAACTGGGCATCTTCTGTATTTGTTTGCTAAATGTGATGACCCTGTGCTCACTAGCCTGAAGGCTATGCGAAGGAGACTGCCTGGTCCCCCAGTGTATTCCTGCTTCACAGCAGGTGCTCAGTCATTATTTGCTAAACGCACCTGACAAGCTGTTGTGTGGTGGTTTCAAACCGGCCTTCCCCACACCACAGCCTGTGCCTCTTCCAGATGCTGCTGACGGCAGTACCATCACCGGCCAGACCACCGTGTCCCACATCCCCAAAGAGCGTATCAACAACCCCAGCCATCCCCATTCCCCACTGTCCAAAGACTAGAGTCCAAAGCAGGTCAGCAAACCTTCAAGAAAACTATCTTTGAGATGCTTAAAACTGAGCAGAAAACAAGAGAGTTGGTCAGGGAGGAACTCATCTTAGGAGGTGAAGCTAGACCCTCAGCGTGCAGGGTAATCTGGGGAAGAGGAGGCTGTGAGATGGGGGCGTGCACTGGCAGGGAGGTGACAAGTCTCAGCAAAGAAGCAGCGGGTGTGACCTCGGCACATCCATTAGAGGTGCTCGTCGCCATGGAGACCAGACAAGTGGGCGAGCAGCCAGGGAGGCAGGAACAAAGTGGCTGCCGGCGCGATGCTCACGGAGAGCCTGGGAGTTAAATGCACCTGATGTGGCTGAGTGGAGACTCGGAGTTGCCCAGATGTCCACCGAGACATGCGTGGAGGAAGGGGAGGCCGCAGCTGTGACTCCACAGGACAGAAGGAGCTCAGAAAAGTTCCAGGAAATGTCTGGTGGCTCTGGGGTAACTCTTCTGGAGGTGGCATCTCTGGGTACAGGGAATGATCCCCCAGGAACGCGCCCTCACCCTCGGTTCTGGGCCCATGCACAGACCCGGGCAGTTGGTGCTGGGCTGGGCACAGCTCTCCCAATCCCACAGCCTGGCGCCGCCTCCCGGTTTTGATCCCCACTCAGGGAGCCTGATGACAGAGGCCAGTGTCAGGGCTCATCAAACCCCAGAGCTACCTTTGGTCTTATGTGACACTCCGGCACCCTGCAAGGCAGAGCCCAAGGGGACTCAGAGCCACTGTCCCCCTGGGAAGCCCAAGGTGTGGAGTAGAGAGGCCACCACCCACAGCCCCCACATAGGTCTTCTGACACTGTCCTACGCTGTCACACACAGATGCCGGGGGCTGACCTCATGGCCGCCTCTTCCTTTTCCAGGCCCAACCATAGAGGCTAAAAACTGGGTTTTCTTAAATTTTAACAGTCATGACATAGGAATATCTACGAGACATCATGAGCCCTGTGTTGCCAATTCTGTTTTCCTAATTTTAAAAATTAACTTATAATTTTACCAGCTGAATTCAAGATTTGGCCAGTTCTGGGTCTTGTTAATAATGTGTGTTGATAAACCCACCCATAGCTTGGGAGAATGCCCCCTCCACACTCCCTGGGTCCAGGCCTGCCATGGCCCCTGACTCTCCTTGCACTCTCTGACACCTGGGAACTGGCCCCCGGCATCTAGAGGCAAGACCTGGAGGATGTGGTGAGGCGACGCCCAGAAGTGGGAGTGCAACTTCAGAGGCAACGGCCTCACAGCAATTGATTTGGAAGCAACATCTGAAAGGAAGGAGGGGAGGGGTGTTGCTTATTGCAGGATAATTGACATTTGTCGTAGAAAAATACAATTAAAAGAACCAAATAAAAATGGGTAACCCCACCTCCTAGTGGTGGAACTGGTTAATGTTTTGAAGGCTATGCTTACAGACCCCGGTCTCCATGTGTGGGCATGCGTGCGTGTGTGTGCATGACCCCGGTCTCATGTGTGTGTGTGCATGACCGCAGTCTCCACGCGTGTGTGTGTGTGCATGATCCGGCTTCCACATGTGTGTGTGCATGACCCCGGTCTCCACGTGTGTGTGTGCATGATCCAGTCTCCATGTGTGGGTGTGCACGACCCCAGTCTCCACGTGTGTGTGCATGATCCGGTTTCCACGTGTGTGTGTGCATGACCCCGGTTTCCACGTGTGTATGTGCATGACCCTGGTCTCCACGTGTGTGTGTGCATGATCCAGTCTCCATGTGTGGATGTGCATGACCCCAGTCTCCACATGTGTGTGCATGATCTGGTTTCCACGTGTGTGTTTGTATGACCCTGGTCTACACGTGTGGATGTGCAATGTGTGCATGACCCCAGTCTCCACGTGTGGGTGTGCATATGTGTGTGCGTGCACATGACCCTGGTCTCCACGTATGTGTGTGCATGATCCGGTTTCCGTGTGTGTGTGCATGACCCCGGTCTCCACGTGTGTGTGTGCACGATCCAGTCTCCATGTGTGGGTGTGCACGACCCCAGTCTCCACGTGTGTGTGTGCATGCACGTGTGGGTGTGCATGCACGTGTGTGCATGAATGGCTCACATTGTTCTGAAATCTCCTTTTCATATTTAGAGATAAATTCTTTCATGTCACAGAATTATTTCCTCAACCAATAAATGGGGGTGGTTGGGCCATGCCTTGCATTTCTGCAGCAGTTCGGCCTTGCCCAGCCTTAGAGGTTCCTGGTGTGGACACCCTGACCCTCCTCTGGGAGGGACCAGCTCCCACTCACACCTGCAAGCCTGATTAGCAAACCTGACTTGGTTATTCAAGTGTGAAACTCAAACTCAGGCAGGCATTGGAATTCAAGTTTCCTGGAGCTATGCTAAGGGCTGGGAGACCTGAACCGGGCTGCAGATGAGGGAGGATTATACCAGACATATCTGGCAGAACACAGCCGGCTTGAGCTCTTGAAAAGACTTTTGGAGTCAGGAGGTGGTTTGGCCCAGCGATTCATTTTGTAGATAAAGACACTGAGGTCTGAAACACAGAACTGGGGCTGGGGGTGGGGGTGGGAGGGGAGGGAAAAAGTGACAAAGGAGAAATTTCTAATGATTATAATTCAAACAATAAACTTTCATAAAAGATTAGTAGTCTGGTAAAAAAAATATTGACAAAGGATACAAATAGAAAATTTCCAGAAAACAAAATATAGATGGGTTAGGAACATACAAAAAAAAAATTCAATCTTGCTGACAAGGAAATGAAAACAGGACAAATTTCGCAAAGCGGGAAGATAACCCAGTGCTGGCTGGGTTCAAGGAGCTGGATCTAGATCCTTTCTTAGACTTCTGCTGGGATTTTCCATGACGTTCCCAAGAGTGTAACTTGGCCACATGTCCAGATAGCTTTAAAAATAGTCATACCATTTGAAACACTGTTTTTCACTCCCTGGAATTTATCTTAATGAATTAATTAGAGATTGTGACAAAGATTTATCTTCTGGGATGTTTGTGGCGGCATTTTTTTATGAGGGTGAAAATGTGGAAGAGACATGAATGTCCAACAACTGGGGATGGGTGAAATAAATGGGGCCCTAGGCAGCCACAAAGGCTCAAATTTTAGAAAAATTAATGACATGAAGAGGCTTAGGATATAATAAAATTTAAAGTTTGCTTACAAAATTGAACACCTTATTAAAGTGGATATTTCTGGATGCCAGAATTACAGGTAACTGATATTTTTAACTTTGTTTCTCTATGCTCTTGTACTGTTCTAAGTTTCTACAATGGACATATTTTTAGCTTCTAATTTTAAGAAAAGGACAAAGAAGGGAGGGTGAATAGGAGGACACAAGGAGTGAGGGAAAGAACTATTTGTGTGACTGTTTGCTACATACCGTCTCCCTGTTAGCTTGTTAGCTGCAGGCTCTGGGGCTTGGATGAGGCAGTCTTGGCTCCCTGTGCCCCTCGACGTGTCCAGCACCCACACCCTGGGCCCTGGCCTGGGCTAGCAGGTGGAGGCCAGCAGCGGATGCGGTAGGTCAGCGGTGGGCAGGTCCTGCGGGAAAACGCAATGGTGTCCCAGGCCAAGGGCAGCCTGCGGGCCCCTAGCTGGGACCTGGTTGCGGCACTCAGTCGACAGACTCATTGGGTGTGGGGGCACTGGATGGTCTCTGGCACCCACTTCCCCTGGGAAACTCAGGGACGAGGCCAGTGGGCCTGGCTGGCGAGTGTGGCAAGACGGCACTAACGCCCCTTTTCCCTATGCCTAAATCGTGTCCAACTCAAGCGGGAGTGGACATGGCTGGCCTGTTAAAAGTATGCTCCGCAAAGGAAATCCCACGTGATTCGTTCCGCTGGGACAAAACCCAGACATTTGGCCACACTGAGTGAACACCTGCTCCGTGCCAGGCACCCTTCCAGACTCCGAAGACCCAGCAGCGAGTAAAGCAGACCCAATGCCTGCCCTCGTGGAGCCCTGAAGGTTAATGATCTCAGTGCAAGGATTGGGGATGTGGGGAGGAACGAGGCAGGAGCGTTGTCAGAGAGAGGGAGCACCAAGAGGCTGCTGGAGCCTCCTGGCTCGCTCTGCAGCCTGGCCGGGCCCCGGGAGGGAGCCGCTGCCTAATTGGCTCCTGCCTGTTTCTAGTGGTGTCCATTTGAAGCCATCTAACGGCTCAGTTCCTAAGAAAGTTCCAGCAGAGGCCCTTGATTGCCCTCTGGAAGGCTAATTAGTCCCAGAAACAGAGCGTCTGTGGGGCCTGCGGGACGGGGGAGCCCTCAGCCGGCACAAATGGCGGAACCGGCATGGGGCTGCCTTCTAATGGCTTTTTGAAGGTTGCTCTGCGTTTGATTGACAAATGCCATATGTCCCTAATGCGCTTCTCTGAGCTCTCTCTTGTTCACCTCTAAAACAGGTTCCTCTTTGCTTTGATTTCATATATACGATTTTACCAGTCCCTGTTCTTTAAAGGCAGGAAAGTCCTAACAGCTCATCCCCACACAAGGCCCCAACAGTCGCCAACTCCCGGCTCTAATGACTGCAGCCGAGTTCTCCAGCGCCTGCCGCTGCAGGGGACAACGGAGCGGGCCCGCCGGCCCCCCTCAGCCGCTCCCCACTCACCCCTCCCCACTCACCCCCTCCAAGGCTGCCGCTCCCCTGAGGGGGATGCTCTGAGCCACGGGGATGAAAGGCCTGGTGATTGCTGTCACGAAGGCCCCAGAAGCCCCAAAGGCGCAGGAGACGCAGGCGGCTAAAAGCACCCGATGGGATGCTGGCCTGGGCCTTAAATAGCCATGCTGTGTCAAGGGAATGTGCTGGGCGCCAAACCCAGGGGCCACCGGAGCCACCTGCACCGGGGTGCTGTCCCCAGGGACTGCAGCTCCCTGGAGGCCTCCCCGAAGCCCGTCAGCCACAGACTTCCTCATGTCCAGCCACCTCCTCGCTGCTGGAGCAGCTGCCCTTTCTTCTTTGTTCCGCTCGAAGCCGAAACAGAGCCCAGCTGTGGCCCTCAGCATCCCCTCGGCAACGTGACAGGTGTTATTAACTTGTGCCCTCTCCTTCCTCATCTTCGCCCCCTCCCCTCCCGCTGGCCTTCTCTTCTCCAGGCAATTCCGGAAATTTCTGATTGCTTTTATCAATCTTCTCTCCCAGAGACACATGGAAGCTGCATAGATCTTATTCCTTGCTTGGATCTGCTGGCTGGAAAGGCTTGACCGTGAGGACGGTCTTGCTCCTGAAGGGTAATTGGAGGTGCAGGAGAAATTAGAAGCCACTACAGCTTGTCACCGAGCATAAGCGACAAGCCCATTACCATGCTCGCTAATGACCGCCTGAATGTTCCCCTTCATTTTGTCAAAAATAACATCCTCATCCCCACGCAGCACTCCATCCAGCACCTGTCTGTCCCGCACCTCCTTCAGGCTGGTGTCTTCCTTTGCTGCCACCAACACAGCTTCTCTTGTTCCTCAGGGCCCCCCAACTTCTCTGTCATCCATCTGCTCCACCCCGTCCAGGAGCATCCCCGGACCACCGTTCGCTGCGCAGGACAGACGCCAGCCACCTTCTCTGTGTTCCCTTGGGAGGTAGCAGCGCTCTTGGGGCCCATAACGGGAGGAGCTGCCTAAAACATGAAGAGATCAAGAAGTCGTTTTGCCCCAGCACGCTTTTAGTACAAAGTGCTCCCTCAACATCCGCTGAGCAATGGGAGCCTCCTGGACATGAGTGCCAAGAGCTTGCGGGGGACCAGAGGGAGTGACACGGAGGGGCACCAGCAGTCACAGTCCACTGCCACCACGCGGGGGGGGGGTGCCCAGCGCTTTCCTCTGGTACTGGGGGAGACCTCCTTCCAAATCAGCTCTGGGGGTTTGCCTGCCCCCAGGGCATTTGGGCTGTTTCGGTGCCCATGAGTACTAAAGATCCCCGGCCCTGTGACACCAGCGGGATTCTCTGTGTTTTCTGCACAAAGGTTGCAGCTGTCGCTTCGCTCCACGGACCAGAGAGCGATGCATAGGGGCCTCCTCAGACCAATCAGGAGCTGCTCGTCACCTGGAGGGCCCCTGGGCGGTCCTCCTGCCTCACCACTGCCCTTCAAGGAGTCCTCCCTGGCGACTCATCTGTGTTCCCCAAGCTGCCTTGCACTGGGGCAGACAGAGCCACTCCCTCCCAAAAAGGCAGGCAGGAAAACCACAGCTCATAAATGGCCCCACAATGTCACTGAGGAAAGGGGAAACACTGCCTTCTCTCCTTAACAGTAAAATCAATCGATGCCCAGTAAGCTAAGGAGAAAACACACCCACAAGCGCGGGCAGCTGTTTTCCTGGAGGGTCTTCACCTTCCCACTGCTATGTGCTTTGCCTTCCAGGGGCCCAGCCCCACCCCAGCTCCGAGCTGGGCAAAGGCCCTGCCCTCACAGCTGGGGTCTGGGTGGACAAGGGATGTGACCTATGCCATATACACAGAACACGGCTTCTGACTGTTTTCTCTATTGAGGAAAAGGAGCAAGAGAACTGGGCCCCACATGGCAGGAGCCACCCAGGAGGGCTGGGAGGAGGCTCATCTTGAAGAAACGACAAGAGGAACCAGGCCAGGGCCAGGTGGGGGCAACCACCGTGTGAACCACTCTCTAAGGTGGGCAAAGCCATAGAGTCATGTGAGAGCCGCTGGGACAACCCTGCCTGAGATGAGGACAGTGACCCAAGAGGCCAGGTCAGAGTGACTCCAGCCCACTCTCTCCAGCCCTGCCAACCGGCAAAAGAGTGTGCGACTGTGATGAGAACGTGGAAAGGCAGGGAAGAGCACGTTTGGCAGCGGGAGAGGTGGACGGCAGGCAGGAGAGCCTGGGCAGCCCAGGTTGGGGCCACAGGGCTGGGAGTGAGGGGACATCACCAATCACCAGTGGGACGCCAACAGATTCCTCTAGCCACAGAGGGGGTGGACGCATTGCAGCAGAGCCCTTGGCTGGGGACACCCGCAGGGCGGCCCTTCCTTGACTCAGGAACGAGGCCAGAGGGTCCTAGGAGGGCAAGGGGAGGGTGACCCAGGACTTCCAGGGATGTGGGACTTTCAGGGCCAAAACGAGGGAAGTCCCAGGAAAGCTGGGACCAGTTGGTCCCCCTATCTAGAGGGAAAAGTCTCCGGAACTTTCGCTGTACTCCACTGAGCTTGCAGGGCCCACACCCTCCAAAACCCACACACCTACATCCCCACACCATGCAACCATGCAACACGGGGCAGGAGGCCTCCCAGGAAGAGACCCACAGGGCTGCTGGGGCTAAGACCGGCAGAGGACAGAGGCCACCCTTGAGCACAGCCCTGGGGACCTGAGACTGCAGGCAGCAGGGAGGCAGTGAGGATGCCCGGGCTCCCAGGGCTGGGGGGACTGCGGGCGCCTGGCTCCAGGGACAAGCCCTGGCCCAGCGTGTGTGTATGTGTACGTATGTGCACGTGTGTGCACATGAATGCGAGAGTGTGCGTGACTGTGACTGAGCTTAAGTGTATGTGTACGTGTGTGTGCATGACTGTGTGGAAGTATGTGTGACTGAGCGTGTGTATGAGTGTGTGTACGTGTGTGTGCATGGCTGTAAGTGTATATGTGTGTGCACGCACCTGTGTGTGTGAAAGTGTGTATGTGTGTGTGTGCGCGCGCGTGTACGTGTGTCTGAGTGTGCACGTGTGAGTGTGTGGTGAAGTGAGCAGGGAGAGGCCTGTGAGGACAGAGAACCAGGGGCCCTGGTATAAACTCTCATTGTCTAGTCATGGAGGAGTCATCTTCAGAGTCCCCGTGATGGCAGCAACACGAGGGCAGCACGCCCGCCCAGGCTGAATCGGCCCCTGCCGTCTAGGAAAGGGAGAACGGCTGCCGGCGCCGCGGGGCTGTTTCTGCGCACGCGCACTATGCTGGCCCCGCTTCCTGGTCGCCACACCGCCCTCTGGTTCGCACACAGCACCGGAGAAACCGGAGAAACCGGAGAAACCGGGAACGGCACATGGGGCACCTCCGTGCTATTTTTGCAACTTACTGTGAGTCTACAATCATTGCAAAATAAAATGTTTTAAAAAAGGTATTAGATGTATTTTTTCATAATAAAAACCTGGCCATGTTCTAGGTGACAAAAGCTCCAGCAAATTCCAAAAGAAACAGAAGAGCGGGGACGTCGTGTCCTACCTCAGGCTGTGGAGGTGCAGCCACTTGTGGCCAGGAGCCGGCCAGGGGCGGGAAGGGGGCAAACCGAAGGGACTCTGGAGGTGCGGGGTCCCTTCAGTTTCTCTTTACTCCTTTGTGTGAGACTGAAATATTTCAACACAATTTCCAAAAAAATCCATCTCAAATCCAATAGATTATGGAGAAAAATAATTGAACGTATAAAAGATCCAGAAATGTAAAATAAGGGGGCTTATGTGAGGAATTCCAGCAACTATTTTCCTGTGAAATTGATGTTCTCCAAGAAACAGAAGAAAACTCTATTCTAAAGGAAACTTGGGAGAAAATTGCTTCTGTGAAAAAGGAACCGGGCCAGGTGCAGTGGCTCAAGCCTGTAATCTCAGCACTTTGGGAGACTGAGGCAGGAGGATGGCTTGAGCCCAGGAAGGAGTTTGAGGCTGCAGTGAGCCATGACTGTGCCCACCCAATACCCACACCCCACTGCACTACAGCCTGAGTGACAGAGAGAGACCCTGTCTCTAAAAGTAGAAGAGAACAATTTGAGACTTTAAAATATTGTTTTATACCAAGATATGCACAAATATATAAATAAAAAATATTGTTTTTAGAAGTAAAACATTAATTACTCATTGGTTTTTCAGCTCAACAGAAGCCATGAACAGCATATTGGATATAACAGATAGCTAAACTAATGACTCTAGAAATTCTCTGAGCACCCAGAAGAAAAGATAAAGAGGCGAAAATAATAAATAACAAGACAAGAAAAAGGCAAGAACGCAAAATATCTGTTGGGTATTCCTGGAGATTCCAGAAGGCAAGCGTGAGCAGAGAAGTAATGATGGAAGAAATAAGAGATGAAAAGTGATCAAATATAGAAATTATATAAGCCATGTTGTGATAATAATGCAATAAAACTAAAATTCAATAGTACAAGGAAAAACAGGGAAAAATAAAACCTATTTCAAACTAAAAGAGCCTCCAAAAAAAATCATGAGTAGGAGAGGAAAAGAACACAGCCATTGTGGGTTTTTATAAAACAACAGTCATGGCATAGGAATGTTCTGAGAAGAAAACTGGTATTTTTTTTGTCTTGTTTTTGAGACAGGGTCTCACTCGGTCACCCAGGTTGGAGTGCAACGGTGCCATCACTGCTCACTGCAGCTTCCACTGCTTGGGCTTAAGCGATCCTCCCGTCCCATCCTCCTGAGCAGCTGGAACTACAGGCACACGCCGCCATGCTCAGCTAAGTTTTAAATTATTTGTGAAGATGGGGGTCTCACTATATTGCTCAGGCTGTTCTGGAATTCCTGGGCTCAAGTGATCCTCCTGCCTCAGCCTCCCAAAGAGCTGAGATTACAGACGTGAGCCACTGTTCCCTGGGGAAAACTGATAACTGGAATGTGTTTTACAAAATTCAACAGAAATGAAAATAAATGTTGTAATTAAGAAGCAGGATAGTAAAGAACAAACTAAACTAGAGGGAAGGAGAAGAAAGGGTAAGCTGAGAAATTCATGACTCAGAGCGAGTGGTATCAATGACACTGAGAGCGGGTTCTCTGCAACAGACAAGCCTCTGGCAAGGTTAATCAAGGAAGAGAGAGCGCAAACCCCAACCTCCACACACCTTCATGAGAAGAGGAAGAGCTGCAAGGAGAGGCCAGGCCGGCAGGGAGGGCTGTGGGCAACTCAGCAGGAGGGGCTTCTGGGAGGCTGAGCATGGACGAGGGAGCCCCGGGGAAAGGGCAGGGCAGGCTCTCATTTCCCAGGAACACCCGTCAGCCCCACCTTTGGGGACAGGGAGCAGCCTCATAAAAGGGAAACATGTTGCGTCCCTCTCCACACGAGCTCTTGGTGAGAAAAACCCGGCTGCTAGGCCCTGTGGGTGACAGCCGTGATATTCTTTCTGTGCTGGTGCAGACAGGCTCCCAGGACAGGGGTGGAGGGGACAGCAGGCCAGGGCACCCCCACCTAGGCCTGCTTGTGGCCTGTCCCCAGGCCATTCACCGGCCCCCACTCCCCAGCGTGGCTGTGCTGTGTGTGGAGAGAAGGCCACCATCAACCTAGGTGCTTACCTCAGAATGTGCCAGGAGCTTGAGAAGTCTTGAGGCTCTGATGGCCGGGATGAGACTTCGAGAGAAATACAGGACCGGCGGAAGAGGAGGCCGGGACAGAAGGTGGATGTGCACCGGCCTCCCACTCCTCGCTCACCCAGGGGTTCCCACCTTAGGAGTCACTAGTCATGCATCCTGGGATCCAATCTGCGCCTCCAGAATCCCGGGGCCCTCGGTCTGGGCAGGCCAGGACACAGCCACCTTGGAGCTGTCCAAAATGCCTCACTTTCTAGGTTTGTCCCACTGACTTAAGACAAAGGTGACAAAGCCTGTGGTTTCCTTCTCCAGGTGTGGACACCCTGTGAGTGGTGGGGGCACGCTCCCGTTCTTTGCTCAGCCCAGCCGGGGGCCTTGGGGAGCCTCACCCAGGTCCTCAGCCTCACCTTCAACCTCAGGCCAGCTCCCACGCCTCAGGATCGAAGGTGCAACCTCCAGAACAGAAACACACCCCAGGAAGCAGCTTCCGCTCCGAGGAGGTGCTCTGAGGAGTGTTGAAGGCCGTTTTCTCCACCCACACTTTTGTGAAGAGCAAAGTAGGATGATTTTCATGCATGAGGAGAGGCAAGGTCGCTGGTGGGGCAGGCTTTCCCGAGCAGGAGTGAGCTGGGCACGGGGGATCCTGAGCCCCTGTCCTGAGAAGCATCTCAAAGGGCGTGTCCATGGAGCAGCCTTTCATAGCAGGCCCTGAAGGTGGGCAAGGGCAGCAACCCCCGACGCTGGCCCTGTCATCTGCACAGCCACCCCCCCCTCCACCCAACGCTGGCCCTGTCATCTGCATGGTCCATGAGCTCCCATTGCAGAATCGAGGGAACCCTCTGCTGCCATCTGGGCCTGTCCTGCAGCCTGGGCCCTGTGGCAGCATCTCCTGGAAGCCTTTGGCTCTTGGTGCCAACATGGGCTCCCTGGCCTCTCCCAGTGCCCCACCCGCCCTCTCCGTCCTGTCCTTCTTGCCTCCTCTTTCCAGCCCGCCCCTTCCACGCTCTTGCTGGCAATCTGCTCCCACCCTCAGGTCTCCACTCACCCCGCACTCCCCACCTCTATGGAGATGACACCAACCCTCTCCACCTGCTGAGCCCAGACCCCTGCAATCAGCCGCTCCCTCACCGGTTCTCCTCGGACATCCTATAAGCACCACAGACTCAAAAAGCCCCTCTATCAGTGTCCTGTTGCTTCTGCAACAAATCACCACAAATTTGGTGACTTAAAACAACACAGGTGGACGAGCTTACAGTTCTGGTGGCTTCAAGTCAGGCACAGGCCTCCCGGGCTAGCATCACGGTGGGGCAGAGCTGCACTCCCCCCAGGGCTCTAGGGTACAGCCTGTTTCCTTGCCTTTCCTGGTTTCTTGGCCATGAACCTTCCTGTGGCCTCTCTGGCCCTCGCTGTGCAGTGTCGTCTCTCTGAGCCGCCTCTTCCGCCTCTGTCTTCCGCTTCCCAAAGACCCTTGGGGTACTTTTTTGCCCACGTGGATAGCAGGGGATCCACTGCTTTCCCAAAGGCCCGCTGGTGAGCAACCTCAGCTTCCCTCTGCCACCAGCTCAGCGCCTTCAGAGGTTCTGGACGCCTCCGGGCCCTAATCCTGCCAGACAAACCCCCTCCCCGAGGCTGGCTGCCCAGCCCAGGCCTTCCTCGGATCTGGCCTCTCTGTGACTAGCAGCACCACTTTCAGTGACCGGCGCCAGGACCCCCCGTTCCCTTTTGTCCCTATGTCCACCTGACCTCTACATCCCACCACCCTCACACCCTTGAATCTGTCTGGTCTTTTAAGGGCTTCAGCTGGCGGCCACTGCCCTCCCCAGCCCGGCCCACCCTGCTTGGGTTTTGCAAAACCCCCAGTGGGTTCGGTCTCCAGTTCACTCCTCAGATCCCTGCATCTTTCTGATTGAGGATCCCATTCTGTTGTACCCATATTTAAAATTGCCCGGCATCTCGCCAAGGCCAGCTTCTCAGGAGAGACGCGGGGCACCCGCCCCAACTCCTCCCTCAGAACCTTTCAAAACCCACAACTGAACTCTTACGTTTCGAGATTCCAGAATGCCCAGGGATCTCTTCCAACTGTCTCTCTCCCATATGATGAGCCCTCTGTCTCCAAAGGCAGCTTCCTGCAGGAAGCCTTCCCAGGTTGCTCCCTCCCAGCCGGGGTGGGCTCCCCCTCTCCTGGATCCTCCCACAGCACCCTGTGCACATCTCAGCAATGCCATCACCATGGATGGGTCTTACCTGCTGACGTGTGTGGCCCCACGAGTCACACGATGATGCTTGTTATTTGCTTTCAGAATGAAAAAGCACGATGGTTTACTGAATGCTGATTACATGCTAGACTGTGCTCATGCTTTGCCCACTGTCATGCTGCAGGGATGACATAGACAGAGGTGTGGAGGTGAGCAGGCTCTGAACCAGGGCCCCTTGACAAAGACCCACTCCTCCTAAGAAGACAGAGCTGGGTCTTGCACCCTTTGGCTGCTCTGGGGGTAATGACCCCTCACCCCAGTACCTTTGCTGAGCTGGAGGGGGAGATGAGGGTTGGGGAAGAGGTAGGAGCTCCCCACCATCCTGAAAATAAAAAACAATACACTTTTCAACTACTGAAAAGCCATAAAGGAAGCCAGGCAAGAGGCTTTAAGGAGTGTTCTCCAAAAATCTAAGTTCAATACCCCGTTCAAGCCTCTCAAGCATCAGACTGAAAGCAATTCATGGCACTTACAGATCTCACCATTCAGCAACGGCTGCTAAAGACAGACTCTGGGTGGGTGGGAAGAGATGCCAGTTCCTATCAAGATTTGATTGCTCAAATCAAATCCAAGCCCACAAACTAATATATCACATTTAATATTTGAAAACAGGGCCCACCAAGATGAACTTCCACTCATTAACAAAACCCATTTTTCGTTTTCCCAGATGCATTCCAATCTCCTATTACCCACACAGCAGAAGTTGAATGTTAAATGTGGGGAGAGGGGATTGCGTGTGAAAAGTTGGCTAGGAGAGGCCTTCACTCTAAGCTCCCCTTTGGAATTGAAACTCATCTGGATAAATCACTATGGCTCTTTGCCATGGGGACTCTTCTCCCTTCAGATCTTATGGCCAAGAGAAGCTCTGGCCATATGTTCACACCATTTGGTGAAAAACACACTGAACCAACAAAACAACCATTGCACTTATGGGTAATTTTAAAAAATCATGCTAAGTGTATTCATCTTAAATGTGTAAGATATACCACGTCACTTTCCCCCCATAGGAACAAATAAGCTGTCTTATGAGACCTGAATTTTTATAGCCATGAGCCAAACCTAAGCAACTAGTGTCCTCCCCAAATGTCCTTTGTCACTTGTCATTCCTCAAGTGTCTTCTTCTAAGTCTCAATGGATGAATGAAAACTGAAACATGGAAGAAAATATTGAATCAGAACCCTGAGCGTTGTCCAATAGGGGTTCTAGAGGCCATTTATTAAGTGGAATAGTAGCCCCAAGTCAGCGAAGCTTCCAAGACCTAACTAAACCCAGAGCGGAATGTTACACCAATTCCTGCGGGACAGGCCCACTCCCTGGATGACTATGAATTTCAGCTTTAAGGTGGCCAGGGTTTGGTTAATGCTGACAGCAGCACAATTCTAATTTATCATAAAGCATCATTTATTTTAATTCAAAAAAAATTTCTTTAGACAGAGTCTCGCTCTGTTGCCCAGGCTGGAGTGCAGTGGCTCGATCTTGGCTCACTGCAACCTCTGCCTCCTGGGTTCCAGAGTCTCCTGCCTCAGCCTGATGAGTAGCTGGGATTATAGGTGCATGCTACCACACCTGGCTAATTTTTGTATTTTTAATACAGAAGGGGTTTTACCATGTTGGTCAGGCTGGTCTTGAACTCCTGACCTCAAGTGATCTGCCCACCTTGACCTCCCAAAGTGCTGGGATTACAGGCATGAGCCACTGCGCCCTGCCCATTATTATTTTTCTGAGATAGGGTCTTGCTCTGTTGCACAGGCTGGAGTGCAATGGTGCAATCATAGCTCACTGCAGCCTTGAACTCCTAGGCACAACTAATTCTCCTGCCTCAGCCTCCCAAGTAGCTGGGACTACAGGTGTGTGCCACCATGCCTGGTTAATTTATTTTATTTTTTTTGGAGAGACATCTTACTATGTTGCTCAGGCTGGTCATGAACTTGTGGCCTCAAGTGATCCTCCTGTCTCAGCCTCCCACCATGTTGGGATTATAGGCATGAGCCACCATGTCCAGCATAAAATATCATTTATGAAAGCCCATGGGCCCAGATCATTTTTTGAAGAAACCACAATTTCAATAAAAGTTCTGTGGTGTATTTGAAGATCGTGGTGAGCAGAAAATGTGTCTGACATGCTTTAGGAATTTTACTCAAGAGAGTAGGTGTGTCGAATACGGACTCAAACTTGAGTTGCTCATAGGAGTTCACACAAGCCTTGGGCATTAGAATAAGGGAGGCCCAAAGAGGTGGTGCAGGTGTGAGCCCTGTAACAGGAGCTGCTTACACCAGGGAGGGATGATAATGACATTTATTCCTCAAAACATGCAGGGAAGCTCTGGAGGATTACGAGGATGACAGCAGGAAGGAGAACCTTGGCAGAGCCTGCTATGCAAAGACAGAGTGCTGCCAGGACCATCCCGATTTTGGGTGAAACAGTATCATTTTAATATAGGCACAGACATAAACTGAGCATATGACATTAAATCTCTAGAATGAAGAATTAACGAAAGACCCCTCTCTCCCTCTAACTGTGGCCAATGTACATCACGGCTTCTGTTTTAAAAGTCCCTGGTCTCCCCCAGATTTTGTGTAAAGCTGCAAAATATCTTGGGTACATACACATTCTTGGTCTCGGCTTGGTTCTAACTCGGCATGTTATTTTGGGCGTCAGCCTCTGCTTCTGTTTTTGGAGGATGGATGTGATAATGTTCCATACCAAGGCTTCTGTGAAGAACCACTAATAGCCATGAAATTCTTTCAAGTGCAAAAAACATCCAAATGTGAAGTAATCACCACTTACCAGGAGGCAACTCGACAAATGCTGTGGCTCTTGCCTGAAGGAAGCGCTTTTGTTTGGTGAAGACCATCTTTAGGAGCCGCATCCAAGCTTCATCCAAGCTTCGGTTCCTTAACTCTTGGGGGAAAATCTAGTTTGTAAATATACAAATCCCGGGCCAGCTAAATACCAAACTTACGCAGATCAAGGCTCAAGCTTCATTGATTCACCTGACCTTAAGCCTACCAGGAAGTGAAGAGTATCGTGAATCCCACTTCTCCAGCCCACAGCACTGCAGCCCATCTCCAGCTACGCGTGAAGACCGTAGTGCTCTTTCTTTAGAGGGGCTCTCTCTGCTGTGTGTCAGATGAAAAGGAGTATCAAATTAAACACTGTGGTCGGCCACCTGCCACATCTGACCTTTAAAAGGTGTTACAAGACACTTTCTTAGGTTAGGGCAGGGTAGGGCAGAGCAAATTTACTGTGTGACTGTAGTCCAGAGATTTGCTTCCCCCAGGTCTGCGAAAAAGGTGCGATCTTCCACCACTGCAGGGTGTTGGACACCCAAAACTGACATTCGGTAGAGAAATTATGCAGAATCAAGCTGGCCTTGGTGAGATGACGGGCAATTTTAAATATGGGTACAACAGAATGGGATCCTCAATCAGAAAGATGTGGGGATCTGAGGAGTGAACTGGAGGCCGAACCCATGGGGGGTTTTGCAGAACCCAAGCAGGGTGGGCCGGGCTGGGGAGGGCAGTGGCCGCCAGCTGAAGCCCTTAAAAGACCAGGCAGATTCAAGGGTGTAAGGGTGGTGGGATGTAGAGGTCAGATGGACATAGGGACGTTTTACTATAAACCAAAAACAGCAACAAAGAGTCACACAAGCTGTGTGACTGGTTATGAAAATGGGAAGCTATTCTCTTGGACTTTGTGTGAAACACATTTTAGGACACCAGCCAAAGGAGAAGTCTATATGTATGGATGGATGGATGTTTGGGGTTAATATTCACCGGTCACATGTGACAAGGCCTTTAATCATCTCATTTAATCCTTACCAATCCCCTGAGATGGGTGTCATGCCCATATTACAGACAAGGAAACTGAGGTTCAAATAATTTAAGTACCTGGCTCAAGGCCGTGGAGATAGCAAGAGAAGATTCCATGTTCTCTCCTCCCATGAGGACATCTTAATTTTGGTTTCAGGAGTAAGAATGCAAGGAGCATTCAGTCCGGGGCAATGGCCAGGCATGAGCACTGGTGGATGAAGTTGTTTCCCAAAGCTCTGCAGCATGTTTTCAGGAATTGCTTTTTTTTTTTTTTTTTTTAATTCCAAGGTTAATTAAGTCAGGAAATGCCTGGATTATAACAGGTGTCTCTTCTGCAGGATTTCTATCTTTAATATGGCAATATGGACTATGGATTGCCAAGAGAATACATAAGGAGATTTTTTGGAGATCTCTTCTGTTTCTTAGAATACACTTTGGAAAAAGCTGGGGTAAAACTTTAAGTCCCTGAAATCAGATTCAGGAAGAAGACAAATGAGTCTCATGTTTAGGACACACTTGACGGTTGCCCCTCCCACCTCCAGCCCCACCAGCTTTCCCTCAGGGTTTCATCATTTTAAATCCCAAAGTGAATTAACTCAGCAATTTGACTTTGGCACTTTAGAGGATGACATGACTTGGATCATCATAAAACCAAACCAGGACCAGAAAGCAAGGGTAGAAGCGCTAGCACAGTGCCTGGAGATGCACGTGGATGCACCTGACAGCGTGGGGCTTGGGGTCAGGAGGCCTTGACTACGGCCTTTGTACAGGTGCAGTCAGTTCCTGCATTTCTAAGGGCTGATGGTGGAGCCTGGGAGCACCGGGTACCAAGCCACTGCTGCTTTTTCCTTCCACATCAGGACTCACCAGCGTGCTGGCGGGAGCCTGGGCAGGCCAGGAACTGTATGCTCTGCAGGAGCAGCTCTTAAACGGGAGGGCCTTGGACAACTGCAGAGCACAGTTGGGAGCCTACAGGCCACACCCCAGATGAGACTTAACCTTTTAAGTGTTTTTGATTTTCAGTCCAGAGCTCATCTCATCACACCCCCTTATCCTCAATAGCCAGTATCTTACTTTTATTTCTTAACAAAAATGAGTGTTTTCAGCCAGGCATGGTGGCTCATATCTGTAATCCCAGAGGTTTGGGAAGCAGAGGTGGCCTGAGGCCAGGAGATCTAGACCAGCTGGGGCAACATAGCAAGACCCCATCTCTACAAAAAGTTCTTAAAAATAAATAGCTGGGCGTCGTGGCACATGCCTGTAAACCCAGCTGCTTGGGAAGCTGAGGTGGGAGAATCACTTGAACCTATGAGTTAAAGGCTGCAGTGAGCTATGATCATGCCACTGTGCTCCAGCCTGGGTGACAGAGCTAAACCCTGTCTTTGGAAAAATAAAAAAAGTGTTCAGTGCATAAACATGGAGCGTTCTGAGTGTTTTCAATGTAAAACACTGTATTTGGAAGACTAGTTTATTTCTATAATTGTCTGACATGGAAGACTAGAACATAATTGAAACAGGGTCATTGTTTATTGAGGACTCCTCAGAGCCTAGAACAGAGCCAGGCACATAGCATGTGCTCAACACATCTCTGTTAAATTCATGAGTAATGTTGCCTGTTCGCAGATTAAATGCTGCTACCAAGTGTATTCATCAGAGTTTTTAACAATCTTGCCTGACCATGAAGTTTACTTCCAAGTTCTTCTAGGCTGGTGCTGAGCAGGACTTCAGGCAGCTGGGCCACGGCCCTCGAAATAAAGAAGTGAACCAACACTCAGCAAGAAGAACAGGGACTGTTTGCACTGTCCATTTGTGGCTCATTTATAATACTTTCTTTGCTTCCTCAAAGGTGAACAGACATGGGAACAGGTACATGTGGTTTGATAGGAAATGAAAGATTTCCAACAGTTTTAAATGGATGGACTTCAGGGCAAAGGCTGGCTTCTTTTCATAAAGGAGGTAGTTAATAGCTTACATTGTATGAGACTGCCCATATGCCCTTAAAAAAATCATTCTTCATTATAACTCTGAAAAAACAGCTTAACTAGTCTTTGAACAGGCCACCTTCATCAGTAAAACATGCTTCTATATCATTCTCTTCCTCGAACAAAACACTGTGAATAGCTATTGCTGAGCAGACGCCGCCCAGTATCTCTTATGTGACATTAAAAAAATCCACTCAAATACCAACAGATTCAACTTTATAGCACCATTCCAAAATACTAAACTTTCTTTGCACCTTTATTTTTTATCTTTTTTTTTTTTTTGGTACACATGTAAAGTCTGGGCATCCTGTAAATTTCTGAAAAGCCTCATAGAAAAAAAAAAACCGACTAATTTTTAGGACAAAGCAATAACTCAGTTTATAGGCAAGATGATCTCAAGCAGGCTGTAAATTCTTCGTGGGCTTCTGTAAATCTTGATTCGGGGGTGAGAATATGGAAAGGAGGCTAAAGTCTTCCTGGATTAGTCTCTAGAGACTGTGTTGCGCATCAGGATAGAAAAACTTGTTGCCCAACGGTCAGACTCTGCGTATCGGTTACAATGCAAACCATAACAACAGTCTTTTGTTAATTATTTTACTCTTCTGATTGACAAAGGAATTGGAATACTGGATATGTTCGGAGTTTGTATACACCTTTTATTTGTACTCTGTAAGAGAGAAATTAGAATAATATTGAATTCCCTCTTACAAATCTCCATATTTGAAGCTTGGAGCACTGAAATCTGTTCTTAGCAAGCAGATGTATTTAAAGCAGAATTATAAATGGGTCTTTAATTCAACATATATTTGGTTGCATTGTTATGTAAGAAGACTGTTTGACTCAGTAATGTGGGAGTTGACAGATGAGAGACTGTTTGCAGAAAAGATGATTTTTTTCCTCGTGACACTGGAGAGTCACGTCTCACAATGACTGTAACTGCATGTTCTTGTCTAACTCTTCCATATATTACTGTGAGTAATGTGAACCGACACAATGTATGCGAGGGGCTGGGGATTCTGAGTATACTGTGATTGGGAGAGGGAAGAGAAGAGGTAGAGGTCCACTAACAGCATAATTATGCAGCAGTTTCAAAGAAATCGATTATTACACAGTAACAGTCAATGACCCAGGAAGAGAAAGTTTAAATTAGAAGTGACTAGTATTAAAAAGCTACTGTGCACCAGGTAGGAAGGAATATGAGAACCATAATATGCCCTGAAATAGAAATCATCACTTTGCACTATGTACACCACATACAATATAACAGATTCTTTTTTAACATTGCACAGTATAAATATTATACACGGTGGAGTAAACTAAATGCAAAATAACTCTGAGGCACACAGAAGAAACAAGGAATAGATTGAACTTTGATTAAACTAAGATGGAGTTAGTAAAAGGCAGAATGTTACATTTTCAGGCCAGTTAAGCTTCTGAGATCTCACCTCAAGTGGGTCAGCAGCCACCTCCCATAAATACTGAAAATGATCATACCTCAATGTCGTTAGAGTTAATTGCTTCAAAGAAAGACTAATTAGCTAAGTAATTTGAGAAAATCAAACTGTTGCTCCCCACTCTAAAGTAGGTAACCCCTAAAGGTCTCTTCCAAATGTAGGGTTTTATAATGTGAATACACTGCTGCATTCCCCTATTTCTTGTAAATAACTTGATTACTAGGAAACCACTTTAAGGAAACTAGAACAGTATTCAAGAACACCCATCACAGTGCTTAACAAGATTTAATGTACATTTATTCTTAACATGTGGAACATATAAAGATTTTATACTGAATAAATGATATTCATTAAGCCAGAGGAAAAGGAGGAATTTACATCAAGTTTTTTTCTTTTTTTTTTTTTTAAACTACATTATCTTGAAATACAAATGTGGATTCTCATCACTGAAAAATCTTTGAAGTTGTGTTTCTTCCTTTTAGTTGTATTTTTTTCATTTTCTCTTTTTTGACTGTACTGGTAACCATTTTCTAAATCAATCCATATATAACCATTTCCACACCTTGATTCATGAAGCAAATTGTGATCAGCTGCTCTCCTGAAATCGAGCATGACTTTATACATACAGAAACTTGTACATTACCCTCTTTTTTTTTTGTTTTTGTTTTTTGTATTTTTTCTTTCTTTTTTTGGAGATATGGCCCTAATGAAAAAATATATAAAATAAAAATAAAAAATTATTTAAATCTACCATCACTTCGTAGTTACCACATCATGAAAAAGAAACTAAAACTTTGTACTAAAAAAAAAAAAAAAAAAGAAAAGAAAAAAATGAGGGTATGTTTAATGTACAACTTCTATATACATCACAGCCCATAGGCAGTAAAAAAAATATTTAAAAAATGATGAAAGGAATTGTGAAGAACTGTCACGTGGAAGGTCAAACGCCGACAGCAGGCATGACGGGAGTGGTGAGGAGCAGTTTCCGGATCGTTGTCAGGTATGTATTCTCAATCTTAAAAAACATTGTTTTTGCTCCCAGCCTAATGGAACCATATTCCTGTGGAGAAACCAGTATCATTTCATAGTTTTGACTACTGACCGACATACCTCCTTGAGCCCCTATACCTGTATCTGTAGAAATTTCTATTGCACAGAACTTTGGGTGATGGGATGCAGTTTTTTTCATTCTCTGAGGAGTAAAACGCATAGGAAATGGATAATTTTTCACCTTTTTGACTCAGTGTGGTGAAATTTTCGCATCTTAGCATCTTTTGCCACAACTTTTTTCTTTAAAGTCAATTTGCTTCCCCCAAAAATGCAATACAACATGGGAAAGAACATTAAAAAGATCTGTGAAGAACAAAAAGTGACCTTTGAATGCACTAGACAGCAACTTTGGTTAAAAAAAAGAGAAAAAAAAAACCCCAAAGGATGTACTTATACACACAGACAGCAAATATTAATTTCATAACTGTTCAAATTAATTATTTCTTTAATTCCCAATTGGTAAATAGTGAATGGGGCAGAGGAGCAAAGATTTTCTTTTCCTTCTTCCTACGCTGGATAAACAAGAACAGAAAACAGCCAGTTATATGTGACCCTCTAATCTTCACTCACACATGCTTGCCTTCTCACTTATGTCATAACTGCCCAATCTGAAACAGTACATCACAGATGACAGATGCAACCAGAGAGTTCAGGACAGCTGATATCGAGATATCCAGCAACCGGCCCTCGTGCAAAAGGAATTCCGAGCGGTTTTCGTCCACTCTGGCCATGGCTAGCAAAGCCTTGGCCGCCCTGCACATCATGTCTACGCTAGGTGGTTCCAGGGGCGGGGGCTGCATGTGCATGAGGTTGTGCTGGCTCTGCTGGTACTGGGCCATCGTGACCCCATCCTCTAGGAAGCTTATCAAGTTTCCAATGCTTCCTTTCTGCACAGCTATGGCCCTTGCTGCTAGTGCGTCCCCTTGGGCAAGGTTCGATAAAAGCGCCATGGACATTTCTCGACAGACTGGGTTTTTGCGATCCCCAACGTACCTAACTAATGTAGCATAGAATTTCTCCTGACGACTAAATGGAGGAGTGGCCAAGATCAGGTCCACATTATTGTCCTGGATACTGAGTTTACAGAGGGTCTCCAGCACAAGTCTCTGAGGCGACAGGACCGAGTTGGGTCCCACAGTTGGAAAGGGATCTTGTGCCTCTGCAGACGGGCACACCATCCAGTGCAGCAAGCCATCCAAAATTGGCAAGCAGATGCTTTCCGTGTAAGCAGACAAGTCTAGCTGCCCGGAAATGTTGGCCAACGTGACCAACGTGTTATCCCTCAAGACCTCGAGGCAGTCCCACCACCACTCATCTTTGCTGCAGGCCACCCCCTTGTCCTCATCCTCCTCTTTCTCATAGGTCTGCGGTGCTCGCTTTCTCTCTGGATGCTCGTGGTGAAGAAGAATCAGCTTCCCCAGGATCAGCACCAGGCCTGGATGTTTGGACATTTCGGCATCATTGCCAGGCACGAATGACAAGCTACGGACAATATTGGACACACAGATGCATCGCTTAGCCAGCGAGTCCTGCCAGTGCGCGATGGTACACAGAGGAGTCTCGTCTCGGCTCCTGGGCTCGTCCTCCAGCAGCTTGATGTTCCGGTGACTTTTGGCTTGCTGGATACCAAAGGGAAACTTACTGCTTTCGGTCTGGGGCCCAGGGTTTGCGTCTTCAGGCAATGCCCCTGGCCGAGCAGAGAGGACGTCATCGATGGTTGCTATGATGCTTTTCTCTTGCTGCTCTTCAGAGTCGCCTTTGCCTTCTTGCTCTTTCTTTCTACCTGCGGAGCTTAAGGGGGGAGGTGGGCGCCTGCGAGGAGGAATTTCCATCTTGCTCTCAAAGTGAGTCTGAATGTGCTCGGTGGTGTCACCCCCGCCGAGCTGCCAGTGCAGAAGGCCACTATTGAACTCCTGCACACGCCCCAACTTGTCAGATCGGTCAACAACAAACAGGTTGTTCTTTTTGACTATCTTTATTGGCAGCTTGTCGAACTTACTGGCTTGCTTGGGCTTCTCCTTTGGGTCTGCAGCGGCGTCCGGGGCAGTCAGAGCGATGCTGCTCTTTTCATCGCTTTCTGTCTTCTCGCTGTCTTCCTCCTCATCCTCCTCGTCTTCCTCGTCGTCATCAATACATTCAGCATCTTCCTCCTCTTTCCCAGAATCGTCTGCCAAGGACTGGCTGTCATCCTTCCTTGCTGCGTTGTGATCAAGTGCTTTTTGGCTGGGGTCTCCCACTTCATATTCCATAAGAATTCCAAAAATGTCAATCAGGCATTTTCTAAAGTACTCGACTAAAAGTTCGAGAAATCCAGACAACTGGAGAGGAGGAGGAGGAGAAGAAAGAAAGAACAGGTACAATGTCATGACATCAGATATGACCGAGGAGGGTAAAGATCCTGAGACCCGTCAATACCTTTCCATCATTGTCACACGTTTGTCTCCCTTTTTGGCTGGACCATGAAAGATAAACTACCCTTCAGGTCCAGCGAACTTCCTGAATTTTACAGTATAAACTAAACCGATGTTTAGCATGTTCCTTATTTGCTGCTTCCTTGCTTAGACTATCTACACGAAAACTTACTTTTTATTCTCATATCTCTAATCTTATCACTGAGGGAGTGCCTTGCTGTTCTTTACCTTTCTGTTCCTGATTTAGAGACAATGTACTCATTATTAGAAGAGTGGGAACATGGATTTTATAGACTCTTTTGCCCAAAGTGACTCTGTTCTCTTCTATTATTTATCTGAGACTTGCTTGCCGGGATTTTTATGGTTGTTATTCTTAGGATTTTATGGTTATTTTTGTCTCAGGTACCATAGGTCACCCTAATTTATGTTCTCTATATATCTTTTGGAGAAGATAATTTCAGCAATGTGGTAGCTCATGAACACTGAAAATTAAAAACAAATCAATTTAGCCTATGATAAATAAATTAAAATGTTTCATAAAATGCAATTTTACATTTCAGTTATTTATGACTCTAGCTGAAAGGCAAAAACCACTATGAGAGAACCACTGACTACAAGAACAAGTTTGGTTTCCTTTAAGCAACTGTACCAAGAAAAAACCAATACACTTCACGATTAGCAACTGCCCTCTCTCCCAACACCCCCCACCATGTTTAGGAACTCTAAAGAGTAAGTAACAAGGATTCTAACAAGGATTCTTTCCCGGTAGATGTTCTGGAAATCAGCTATACCTTCATATCCTACTGTCAGTTTCTTGAAAGTAGAGTTGGAACAATTTTTAAGAAGTCAGGGGAAGCCCCCAGCACCAACTAGAAAGAACTGCTTTTAGTGTGCTGAAGGCACAATGTTCCAAGGGCATTTTCCCTTTTTTTTCCAGGGGAAAAGGGAAAGTTAATAAAGCAATTCTGGTTATGCAAATATGTGATCAACAACAGTTCACCTAACATAAGGATGAAAGCGCATTACTCTAGCAAATGCAGTATACAGTTTTTAAATACTTATTTTCTGTTAACACAGAACTCGTACAATGTTTATGACCTTATTAATAAACTTTCTAGCAATTGAAAAATTGCCTTTCTAGGCTGATAATGAGGGCTTAAATGAGAGAAGAAAGAAGTAGAAGATTCTGGTCTTATTTCCTTAGAAGCAAGGAAATTAAGTGTTTTAGTTTTTGCACTCAAAGTAGAGAGTTGTTTGTATACTATAGGGAAAATGACCTTTTTCCATTTTTTATTTCTAAATATTTCTTTAAAAGTCTATAGCCCAGTGGACTCGGGCATTTTCCCCAAACTTCAGTGCTCCTCTCTTCTAGCTATTATGCTGGAAGCTACCTGAAGCCTACCTCTGAACAAAGGAGGGGTTTAAGCTCATTAAAAGTAGTAGGCTTTTACATGACTGCTTCAAAATAACCTGGAGAGAGGCAGAAATGAGAGAGCATAGACTAAGAAGTAAGTTTAGCCATGAGTTCATAACTATTTTAGCTGACTGACAGGTACATGGGGGTTCATTAAACTGCTCTCTCTCCTTCTATATATATTTATACATTCTATAAATGTATAGAATATAAAATTTCTAAATCTTGAATATCTTTTTAATGAAAAGAAGATGTCAAGTCCTCCTGGAAAGCAGGGTTATGTCCCATTGCAACCAACTGTGTTTCCAATGCTGACTCCAGTCACAACTTAATGTTACATTTTGATTTCTTCCCATTGGCCAGCTAATATTCATTCTGAACAATTTAATGTTACTACTGTCATCTATCCCATATACACATACACACACAGTCACTGTTCTCTCATAAGAAATAGAGGTATGTGTGTGTACACACACTAAAGACTACAGTGAATATTATCCCAGATAACTCTACATTGATTAAGGCTGGTTGATAACAACTGCAGTGATTAACAGTGTTGGACGGTCAGTGCTCATCAACTCAGGCATTAGTTCAAGCACAAATGTGCATGGCCTGATGCTCTCCTATCCTAATTTGGTTGTTAGTTGGACTATGCTGGCTTACCTGGGAGAGATTGAAAGTAGCAACAGTGCTGTCATCATACAGAAGAATATTAATAGTGTCCAAAGCCCACGTACTCTCAGCCAAAAGACCTGATTTAAGGGACATCATCACACGCCACGCCTCAGGAGTAACTGAAGATGGGGAAGAACAAGGATATCATGAATGTTGACTCTATGCATGAAAGAACGAAAGTTAACGAAAGAGTAAGAAAAAATAAGTGGAGTGTTAAGTTAAATATTGACTTTAAACAAATGCTCTCAAGGACAGTTAAGCGTGATCATTTCCGATTTTAAATGGAGGCCATAGCTGTAACGAGAAACTTTTGTGGTTTCAGATCTCGCTTTGTTGGTCACGCAGGGGCCGAAAGTGCTTCTGGAGGTGGAGTGGTTGAGCACAGATGGTCCTTTCTCATGGCCGGGTTATTTCTTTCAGCCACCCTACAGAGTCTGCAATGTGGTATCAGAGCTTTTAATAAATGAGTCAAACCCAAAAGTGGTATTTGTCTTCTTTTGGCTTCACCACTCACGAGTGTCTCAAGGTGGCGTCCTGGAAGGCCGCCAAGTATGCAGAACATGGAAGCAAAATTTAACTCCAAGACAGCCTCCTCAGACACACGGCCTTGGCTTCCCAGGCTGCTTTCCTCTAGTCCTGTGCTCCTGCCCTCAGAACATGCTGTGATAAATATTAGCACTTTGATGGCTCAGATTTCTCAGGAGTATGGCTGGAGCCACAGAATGGGAAGTAATTTGTTGTTTTCCCTATTCCTGCTACTGAAGGAAACAAAATGATCAGGTAGAAAGTTTGGAAGATTTGCCATGAGACCCAGCTCGGCCAGATCCCTGGAGCTGCCTGGAGGCTGGGGGCATTCTCCAGGCACCAAGAATCATTGCATGAGGGGGAGACACCGTGGCTTTTCCACTTTTATTTTATCTGTTTTAAAATTTTCTAAGATAGCTACATACTGTTTTTACAATAAAAAAATCAAAATTACTTTTAAAAATAAACATGTAAATTTCCCTAGGTTGAAGACAAATGCTATATAACCCGCACTGGGAGATTTTTAGAAAATTTAGATGTATTTATTTAAACATACATATACACACATAAACACACAATACACGTGTGTGTGTGTGTATATATTTCTATATATAAAATGGTGCTCAGTGTCTGTGTCTCCTTCTCTCCCTCTGCAACCCCATATAAATACACACACACACATATTCTATATATATCTATATATCTATATTTATATCTATCTATATATATATATAAAGGGATATAGATACACATGCATTATATATAAATGGATAGATATATATAAAGGAATATGTGTGTGTGTGTGTGTGTATACAGTGGCACAGTCACTGCTGAAGCCTTGATCTCCTGGGCTCAAGTGATCCTCCTACCTCAGCCTCCTGAATAGCTGGGACTACAGAAATGAATCTCACTTTTGGCTAATTTTTTTTCTTTTTAGTAGAGACGAGGTTTTGCTAGGTTGTCCAAGGGTGGTCTCGAATTCCTGAGTTCAAGTGATTCTCCTGCCCTGGTCTCTCAATCTACATCTCCTTAATGTCCAGTGATTGATGTCTTTCAAATTATTAATATCTTTAATTTTCTAATCACTGAAAAAGATTTTAAGTCAATTTGTTCTTGATATTTTTTGAGTAATTTTTCCTAATATAACTCAGATCTATTATCTTCCTTCCTGTGTTAAAAGTACTTCAAAAATAATGCAGAAACCCTGTGTGTACTTCCAGATAGTCCAGACCTCTGATTAGTATTCAGAACATCCCACAGAGGATAAACAAGCAACATCAGCATTCGATTGACATGGTTCTTGGCCCAAGTCTACCAGTGCATTGGATGATATCAGTTCTATGTATCACAGCATAGCATATTCTTTATGTCATACCATCTATCAATCTACATATTACATACAAGCTTTAACTTTTTCCCACGGAAATTCACTGTATGTTGTCACCAAATTACAGAGTGGCTTGCCTTCAGATTTTCTCAGGTCACCTTTAGCATTTCATTAGCCTCATGGGGGGGTCTGTTAGGCACGTATTGTAGTGATTAAGTGGCTTGGTTAAGTTCAAATCTTTAAGCCCAAAATACAGCATATAACCACTCAGGATTCCCTGATCTCTTACTTGAAGCTCTAATCTTTCACACAAATAACATTCACACGTAAAACTACCATTTTATTTCACCGTGTTATCCAGGATGGTCTCGATCTCGTGACCTCGTGATCCACCCGCCTGGGCCTCCCAAAGTGCTGGTATTACAGGCATGAGCCACCGCGCCCGGCCAATCTTTCTGGCACTATTTCTTAATTCAGATTAGCAGCCTCCAACTATATTACTCCTATATAAAAACGCATCTTGATAACTTCTAGTCATAATTTTTTCATCCCTTTAAGATGAGCAGGAACAGCATCTTTACTAAAATTAAAATTCTACACTGCAACTGGAATTCATTTCAGAATGAAAGCTTTGGAATTCTTACCGATATCTTTGGAGGTAATCTTTCGCCTTTGTTTCAAGACTGGTTGTGATGCTTCTACTGAGCCAGGAGGAAAGGTGATCTCCCTTCTGATTGGGGGTGGTTGGGGTGGTGGCCCGGTGACCTGGGATGTGGGGACCGTGGGCATGACCTTCTGCATCTTCATAGACGGCAGAAAAGGAGACTTGCTTGGAGACATGCGGTTCTCCAGGGAGCGCTGGAAGGACGCTGGGCTGGGCGCCCTGGAGATGTGATTTGGCAGTGACGGTGGCGTCTGGTAGGACGGCTGTGGTGGGCGTGTGATGGGCTGCATGGAGGCTGAGGACGACATATAAGGCTGACGCTGGCTGACGTGAGAAGGCCACTGGCTCTCATGATTTATCCTCTGATCGGGTACCATCATATCGTCTGTGCGGTTCATGCCTGGGTAAGGGGGCGCCTGTGTAGGGCCGCCAGGGCCCTGCCTGTTCTGGTAGGGATAAGGCATATCATTGCGTGCTGCCCACATATTCTGCTGAGGCCCCTCACTGGAGGACGACTGCAGCGGGCCGCCCATCATCTGAGGCGGGATTCCGTGTGTCTGGATCTGCCCCGGGCCCTGCATCCTCTCCCTGCTGTAGGGATACGGGTACTGGCCCTGGATGGGCCTGCGGTCCGGGCCCGAGTAGGAGCCTCCATACTGGTTGTACATCTCCTGCTGCTGGCTGCTGTACTGCATGTTGTACATGTCGCCCTCGTGGCGCTTGGCTGGGGGCCCGTACATGCCGTCCATATGGCGTTTGTAATTCTGGAATTCACAGAAAGACAAATCATCCTGATGTGCTCTTACAGGTATAATCACACACTGAAATTATGCAAAATAGTTATTACCTGCTAGAATGTTCATTTCAAAATGAATATGGGAAGCTCCTATAACAACAGAGAACTAACAATTTATGTTCAATATTTCAGTATTATATACACCATGTCACACACTGAGGAGAGAGCATCCAAAGTTTGTTTTCACGTGTTTGAAACTTCCTGTGGAAAAAAAAAAGCCTCCTCTCCTTAGGCTGTGCCACCGGGACAGCCAGCGTTCAACTCCCACACAGGCAGACGGCTCCCGGGCTGGGAGCTGCACTAGGACCACAGCAGGAGGCAGAAGGACCCTCTCACAGGAAAGCCAGCATCCAGGGGCCGGCCTGAAAGGGTCTTGGGGTAAAAGGGTTTCTTGGGCCTCATTTTACAGAAAAGCCCCCGAACAGGACTCGGCTCCCCAGACTGGCCCGTGTCACCCAACATCCATCCCACGGCTCCTGCCCTGACTTCTGGCCTGGTCAGGTGTGGCTCCCCCAAAGCCCCACTGGTCCCAGCACTGAGGACAGGGCTGGGACCACACCTGTTATTAAGCTTGCTTCCCAGGATGCTCCGGGACCAGTGCTTAATCGGGGTAGGTGGGACTCTGATGGGAGGCAGTGAGATGCTGATGTTTTCCACTTTACTTGAAAACTGTTTAAGATCAGTTGGTTTAATAATGCAATTCACTGGCCAGGCGCAGTGACTCACGCCTGTAATCCCAGCACTTTGGGAGGCTGAGGCAGGAGGATCACCTGAGGTCAGGAGTTCAAGACCAGCCTGGCCAACATGGTGAAACCCCGTCTCTTATAGTAAAAATACAAAAATTAGCTGGGCATGGTGGCGGGTGCCTGTAGTCCCAGCTGCTTGGGAGGCTGAGGCAGGAGAATCGCTTGAGCCCAGGAGGCAGAGGTTGCAGTGAGCCGAGATTGCACCACTGGATTCCAGACAGAGCGAGACTCCATCTCAAAAAAAGAAAAAAAGCAATTCCTTGTGCCTATATGCTCCAGCAAAATTAAATAAATGAAAAATGATATACATATTATTATATATAATTATTATAATTATATAACATATATATAGTTTTCAAAATTTTTATTTTTTGCAAGAGTTCTCAGATCTGAAAAGTTTTTTAAAAACAGCAAAGTCCTGTATGTCTGGAAAGCCACACCACGAAGGGCGGTTCCTGCAGCGGCACTGGTCACTGTAAGGGGGAGATCCTGCGTAACTTAGCATCTCTGAGCTGCAATGGTCACCTGTGAACCAGCAAAAACCTGTCCTACTTATTCAAAATAAGTATCATTAGCATCTTATCTCATTTTTAAATAAGCCAATTCACTTTCACTATTAGTATACAATATTTTAAGTTGCTTTTCTACACATTCTCCTTAAAGCATTGACAAATTTCTGTTCTAAAATGGCTTCTGATACAACAGTATGCACAATAGATACATGTTTAAAATATACTAATTCTAGCTTGGGCTTGTTATTATTTACAAGGATGAATACACTCAACTTCTTATTACAGGTCATATGTGTTTCAAGAAACCGTGTATCAAGAGTTATTTTTAATTTGCTGACTTCAACATCCCAGGAGTACTTTCTAGCATTAACTATATCCTGAATGCTCAACAAACACTAATCATTTTTGTTAGATGTCTGAAAATCTTCAGAAGTAAGACAAGTTTGAGTTTTAGCCTCCAGGACAGAACCAGAAAACACAGCACCCCACGCCCACTTGCCAACTCACCGGCTGCTGTGGGTACAGGCCGGGCTGGTGCCCTCCATACGGCGGCTGTCCCGAGGGAGGGCCTTGGCCTGGATACTGCTGCCCATAAGGTTCATGCCTGGAATGAGGCATTCAAAGAAAACTTAACTGAGAAAAAGCTTCAGGCAAACAGAGAAATAAACAATCCATTTCTGGAACCCTGACTCCCTCAAGCAGCTCTGTGTGGCTTTTACTGCGCACCCCTCCGACAAAGGCCCTCTGAGAGGCAGCTGCACGCCAACTGTTAGCACCAGGGATGGGAACACCCATTTTGGGAATGGTGCCAAGCTCCTAGTTTGGGCTGTTGGCTAATAGGTGTCAGAGGAATACCGGTTGAGCAGGCAGGCACCCTGTAAGCACTTGTTAGAGCCTCTGGCCTCTGCTTGGAGGCCGCAGCCCCGCCTGTCCACTGACGTGTACCTTAGGAAGTGTCGTACAGTGCTGTGATGACAGGCATTAAGGGAAGCAAGAAACAGCAAGAAGAACTTAAGACTCAAAGGCAATGTTCCTACAAGTGCCAGAACATCAAAATGTTTGTACTTTGCACATTCTCATTATGAATGGAAAATGTTTAATTTTTAAAAGCTATACTTCAAATTTAATTCAAATGTTAGCTAATCATTATATAAATACAAGTGCTCAGAATTTCACAGTCCTATGCCCTAAAAGGCTCCAGAAAAGAATAACAGGGATGATTCAAATGTACACCTATTACATCTTAAAATGGAAATGAATAATACATTCATTTTTCAACTACTAGTATATTAAGAAATTATAAATACCATAAAAAATAGCATGTTTTAAAAGACAATAGATTTGGAACTTTGAAAAATACATTGGTTTAATATACTAAATCTTGTAAGAAAGGGAACAATGGACTGAATATATTCCTAAGCTGATCAAGGAATGAGAATAATAAAAACAAATAACTGAATTTTTAGACTATCACATGTGAAACAGACACGGGAACTTTTGATAACTACTTTGATATCTAAGAAGGAAATGCAGAGATAGGAGGAAAGAAATGTAATTGACATGGGTAAAATTTAAGTTGCCTAACAAGCAACATTTTTCAGAAGAGAAAACTTAACAATGAGGTAAACCTCTCTTTAATGTGGTAGATAGAGCCCAGATAATTGTTCTTCTAATCTTGCCAGCTACCCCCCCCAAAAAAACATCTGTAGCTTTTCCTGGACCCTCAGAAACAAAACAAACCTAACTGAAATCCTTGATTCAGCACACTAAATGTTACCTTATGGTTAACTGATTAACGAATATATCACAAGTAAATATTGGCCGTATTATGGCCGGGTTAAGAATTAGAAGAGTAAATTCCTAGGTCCCTAGGAGAAAGCACCGTGTCTCCTTAAACATGGGATGGACTCTCAAGAACAAGGCTCACAGACAATACCATAAAGAAACCTCATTTGGTAAAGCCGTGATTTTTCAACCTTTTTCTCCTTTGTATTACACTGAGGAAGCTTTCCCACTGACCCATCCCTGTGACCCCAGCATGTGGGCTGATGAAAGGTGAGCGGCTCTGGCCCAGCCGGTCCCCGGTAGAACAGCACACGCAGCTTCCGAAGGCCGCGATCCCGAAGTCAGCTCCACCCTGTGGCACACACTGTGGCTCCGGGGAGGGAAAAGCCCTTCTATTATGCCTCTATCTTTTTTCTTTAAAAATCTGAAATATTATATGAAAACCTTGCTTATCATCATGTCTCTTACTAGGAGGTAGAGAACATACCCAACAAGGGGAAGGGGTTTTTGTGACAATGAGTATTGAAGTCAGGGCCCAGGCAAGGGACTTTCTTCACAAAAAGAAGCCTACCCTATGCCATCATCTTAGGAAGCAGTTTTCAGGTTACCTTTCAGAGCCATTTCAATAACTTTTCCTCCTATCTAGTTACAAATCACTCTGCATCATCAGTCCTGCAGCTGAACTTGCCATTTTAACTTGCAAGTTTAACTTGCCATTTTCAGTCATTTCAAGATGACTTCCTTAAGCGAGGCTGCAGTGAGGCCTGTGCTGTGGGTTTTCTAGAGATGTTTATTAAAGAGCAAAGTATTGTCCCTCTGTTTAAAATATTCACAGGGGAAAAGCACTGCCTGGAAGACCTTTCCAGAATGCTGAAAGCCCAGTGTGGCTACCACTGCACAGGCCTTTCCCCCAGACAGAAAGAAGGGAGGGAGGGGAGCGGGTGCTGTGGAGGCCCAGGCATCCAGGAGCTCCAGGCGAGCCATGTCTGGAGTGTGCAGCTGGCAGTCCCTCAGAAGGAAGCTGGGTGCTGGTGCCGGGTGCCAGCGTGACTTGTGGCGGCCCTGGCTCTTGACTTCGGGAAGAAGACTCCTACCAAGGCCAAGGTCCTTCTCCCTGGTCCTGAATAGCCATCTACTGAGGGCAGCCACCTGACACTCACCTGGTGACCAGCAGCCATTGCCTCTTTACTTTCACAGGAAAGGGGACACTGTATATTGTCATCAGTGGCTCAGCTGCCAGGGCTCAGAAATGTGTGTGTGAGGAAAGCACGGTTTCTAGTAAATCATCATATTGTCATCTTAAAAAATACTCACCTTCGGTCGTAACTGGCTCCATAGGGAAACTGCTGGCGCTGCCCCATGCCCAGGTTAGACATTGCTCCGGAGGGACTTTGGTTGTACATGTCCTGCATGCTGCTGTTGGGCATCTGTCCTTGCGTCATAAAGGGCTCGCTGCTTCCAGGCACTGCAATATTTTAAATAAAATGCATACATTTAGGCATTTCTGAAAGTCAAAGGCCCATCCATCCCTTCTAGTCATCTCTATTGTCTTTGGACTTTTTCTTTTTTTTGAGATGGAGTCTCACTCTGTCGCCCAGGCTAATGCAGTGGTGTGATCTTGGCTCACTGCAACCTCTGCCTCCCGGGTTCAGGCGATTCTCCTGCGTCACCCTCCCAAGTAGCTGAGATTACAGGCATCCACCACCACACCTGGCTAATTTTTGTATTTTTAGTAGAGACAGGGTTTCACCATGTAGGTCAGGCTGGTCTTGAACTCCTGACCTCAGGTGATCCATCCACCTCAGCCTTGCAACATGCTGGGATTATAGGCGTGAGCCACTGCGCCTGGCCTGTACTTTTTCTTAATATGATAGACCATAATACTATTGAAAGAGCATAAGTTGTGGAGCCAAGATGTGCTCTGTGGGGGCAGAAATCTAAGATGGCCCCGAAGATCCAGCACCCCCTGCCCGGTGGGCACCTTCCATGAGCCCCTCCCCTTCAGTGTGGGTGGGACCTATGAATACGATGGTATCACTCCCATGATTATGTTATGTATGTTACATGGCAAAAGGGGCTTAACAGATGTGATTATAGTTACTAATCAGCCGATTGTGAGTTTAAACAGAAGGGAGATTGTCCAGGTAGCCCTTTAAGTTTGGATCTAGAGCTTAGAGAGGAAGCAAGTCAGAGATATTTTCCTGCTGGCCTTGAAGAAGCAACTGGCATGCTGTGGAGGGGGATCACGTGTTAGGGAAGGTGGGCAGAAGATAGTCAACAAGAAAACGGGACTGCAGCCTCACAAACACAAGCAAGTGAATTCTGCCAATGACTTAAATAAACTCGGACGAGGACCCTGAGCCTTCAAAGAGCTCACAGTGCTGGCAGACACCTTGATTTTAGCCTGTGGGACCCTGAGCAGAGGCCCAGTCACACTGTGCCAGATTCCTGATCCACAGACACTGGAGGATCATACATTTATGTTGTTTTAAGCTGCTAAGTTTGTGGTAACTTGTTATATAACAACATAGAAAACTAATACAGGCCCAGATCCATTCCTTACTTGGGTAAGTTACCTCTGAGTTTAATTTCATTTCTTTTCAACATTTTTATTATGTTTTTTAGAGAGAGGGTCTCGCTGTATCACCTAGTGATAAGAGGTGCAATGTTGCAACTGCAGTGGTGAAATCGTAGCTTACTGTAGCCTCGAACTCCTGGGCTCAAGTGATCTGCCTGCCTTCCTCAACCTCTTGAGGTGCTAGAATTACAGGCATGAGTCATCACCTGGCCCCTATTTTCTTGTCTATAAAATGAGGCCAGTAATATTATCTCATGAAATGGTTGTAAGGAGGACATAAAATATGTATACAAAGTTAGTTCCCTTCTCCCATAAGAAAAAAGGTGAAAACCTTAACATTCAGCCACTGATTCACTCCAAAATAAGGATTAAAAAAATTATTAAGGAGTTAAGAATAGCTCAAGATGGGATGAAATACAACTATTTCTAACACAGGATGGAGTGACAAGTAGGTAGTACATGCAAATTAGCATCAGCTCAGAGCCTGAAGGAAATTGTGTTCAGTCCAGAAACTAGCCTGAAGGCAAATTAAACATTTTAATATAAATTTTCATCGTTATACAGTATTGCTACCTTTCTCCATCCTATGATAGTTACTTTTATGTTATGTGAAGCAAAAGCTGGTTAAGATTTCATGAGTAGATACATTTTGTTAGGCTGGTAGAGAGGGGCCAATGCCAGCATCAAGTATTTTCCTTTGCAATGTGCTTTCACCTGTTTTATCTATTTGATCTCACATCAACCTGTGGTAGAACCAGTTTTGAAGTTACTTTCTATTTTGTAGATGTGAAAACAGAGATAGAAAGAAATCACGTGACATAATTAAATAGCTTTTCTCTAATACACAAGGAAATTTAAAAAAATCAACAGGAAAAGCAACAATCAAATTAAAAATGGGCAAACACATAAATGAACATTCACAAAAGAAAAACAAATGGTCAATCAACATATGAAAAGATGTGTGAGTTCACTAATAATGGAATGAATCCAAGGTAAACAGTAATGAGGCCTTCCCCCTTCCATCTGATTGGCCAATGTTAAAATGATGGACAATGATCATTCTTAGTAAGGGGGTGAGAACCCGCACACTCTCACATGCTTTTGTTGAGAACATTAAGCTGGTATAAGCTTTGCCAATACCTGCTTTACCTGCTATGGGAGGCTGTGCTTTGGCAACCCCCAAAGAAGTGCATCTCCCAGCATTCGCAGCCTGGGAAACCCCTCCCATGATGCCTTTGGGTTTGGTCATGTGATTAGCATTGCCTAAGAGGGCTCCAGCAAGTGAGATGCAAGCAAAAGTTTTTAACTGCTTGCTCCCGGGACCTGTCCTCTTGGAGTGCTCCCTCTTGAAATCCATCTGCCATGTTATAGGCACCTAAGAAACTACATGGAAAGGCCCCATGGAGGAGGCTGCAGCCAACAGCTCCAGTTGAGGTCCCAGTAGAGCCTGGGGATGACATCAGCCACTTGAGAGACATCAGAGCCCAGCAGAGCTCTCAGCCTGGCTCCCAGATGATGGCGGCCACCTCAATATCCTAGCTGACAACATGACACACAGAGCGAAGAACTACCCAGTCTACCACAGAACTGAGAGATATAATTAAGTGTTACTGTTTTTAAAGCCACTAAGATTTGGGGGTAGTTTGTTATACTGTAAAAGCTGAGATACTCAGTAAACTAAAAAAAAAGTTCATATCCTTTGATTCAACAATTCTACTTCTAGGAATCTATTTCGCAGAAACATTCTTACAATGTGAAAAAACTGTACTTCAACAATCACTGCTTCATTGTTTATAATAGAAAAGATTATGGAACAACTCACCCATTACTAGAGCATTAGGGTGTATCTATTCAATTAAAAAAAGTAGAGCTATGTGTACAGATAATAATATAAATTCGATATATACTATTCTGTTAAACATATAAAATGATGTTCATTTATATGTAATCAATCAATGCCTCAATCAGTGAAGTAAGGAAGTAAGAAGGCAGGGAAGGCAGGCCGGTGAACAGGCAGGGCCAGGCCCCTCAGGGCTACTGAGGGCTAATATTAGATCAGACTCTGACCATGCTACTTGTACTACAGGTTAACACCACCAGCAGCAGCAACAGCGACAAAGAGTATGTTTTCCACTGAAGTTAGTCATTAAATAAAAAATCAGAGCACCATTAAGTTTACTGACAGAGTAAGGCAAACTGAAGAATGGAAAACTATACACAACAGGATTAAGACTCTTAGAAAATGTGTTTCCCGTGGATTTTCTGTTTATCTGCTTTAATTTGGTACTGAATACATCAATACCGTAAGGCAGCAGGTGAACTGAAATACACTAGGGATTGTACTTGCCACCGGGGATCATTTACATGGTTGATGAAAACAACATTACAGACAGTCACCAAAGTAGGATGGCTCAACCTTATGATGGTGTGAAAGCGACAGGCATTCAGTATGCTCCTCAATTTAAGATGGGGTTATGTCCGGATCAACTCATTGTCAATCAAAAATATCGTAAGTGAAAGTGTGTTTTCAACTTACCAATATTTTCAATTTAGGATGGGTTTCTTCTGATGTAACCCCACTGTAAGGTGAGAAGTATCTGCATATATCTACCTAGGGCCTAGCAAGGTGATCCCAGAATCATTCCACCCCCACAAATTTATTTTTGTAATAAGAAATTCTAGGCATGAGGACACGAGGGAAATACACCTATAGTTGTCTAATGTGGTGTATCGGTGGGATATGGGAATGGTTTGCAATACATTTTGAGGCCAAATTCTAAATACTACTAATTATTTTTTTCCATGTTGTCATATTTTCAGAGTCTAAAGCCACCAAAAGCACTAACGAAATGTTCTGTCTAGCATCTCATACCACTAAGAAAAACAGCTACCCCAACATTCACAAAGCTTTTGAAATTCTAAGCTTATGGATTTACTGCATGTCCTACAAAATCCTCACTTGGAATAAGCAGCCCTGAAACTTTTGAAAGAAAAAAATCATAGATGATCTTGCTTTATGAGTGTTACCTGAAATGTTGTACATGAAATA